>NT_167209.1:0-137718 GCF_000001405.40 Homo sapiens
GAATTCAGTGCAATTCAAAACAGTAATTTGTGGGAAAAATTAGATATGCAGATAGCCTGGACTCTAGGGAGGCACGCATCATTTGGAGAATAATAGTGAACCGGCTGGTCTATGAGGGAAGAAAACAGAGTGAATATAGACTATTAGTGAACAAGGATATTTTCCCATGTATATTCAAATTAAGGTGAACTTCTTTAGAGAATTGTGCCTTAGAAAGAAAAAGTATTTCCCTATATTTGAGTCCTCACAAGTTTTCCTACGATGAGTGCTTTTGTGATTATTTTGAATAACAAAGTAATATTTAAAGAAACTCTCTTGCCCTGAATGTACTTTATGTCAATTGATGTTGCATATAGAGAGCATCAGAGTCAAGCCACAAGAAAAGGAGGAACATAACTTAGCAAAGACTTAGAGGATTAGTCCTAATAGTGTGAAATCAAAAGTTCAAGTGAGGGAATAAATGCAGCCTTTAATGATTACTTAAATGAAGTTTAACTCTAGCAGGATCTACAAGAAATTGGCAACCTTTGGCTTCAGTAACAGAAACTCAGGATATATGCCCTTCAGTGCTTTTGTATTCTGCATCATATTGAGAGAGACTCCTTTAAACAAGCAATAAGAAACTTCCTGTGACAACATAATAAATTCAAAAAGTTCTGTAACTCAGACAATTTAGATAGAAGTGAGGACTTTGGCCTAGACAGCCCTGTTCACTCTAAAGATGGATTAAACAAGGAAAAATATATTGATATCAAAAATTCAATCAGGAATTTGATTAAAGCATTTCATTAAATGTGATAATTTCTTAGTATATTATCTTACATATGCAATATTCATGTGTAACAAATTAAATACAAGTAAACATTTGAGCATATTATCTGCAGCATAATTTACATATTCAGTTTTGCTTACATGAAAACTTCGATCTTCTCAATAAGAAAATTTGTGAAATCTTTAATTCCTCATCCCCAGGAATGTAAATAAATAAATATAAATATTGTAAGTCAGTGATTTTTTCCTAGGAAGACAGTAAAAATACTTTACACGTCTTCTCATTGTAAACCTAAATAACAAACAGAAAGGCTCTCTAAACGAAAAAGACACATCTTAGGGAGGAGGGCACTGCAATGGGAATATGCATGACAAAGCAAACTGTGTAGATTCAAATGGTAAAGGAAGACAAGGTCTTTAAAAGAAAAGCGATCAACCTGGAATTATGGGGGAGTAGAAAAAAAATAAATAAAGGAAAAATGAAGAGGCTTCTATAATTGTTTTGATATAGTTACCTTTGACTATAAAGATCAACAACAAGGTCGATGTCAGTTGAAGTTTGGGCAGGCGGTTGCTGGATACATGTCCTCACAGAAGTGTATTTTGTGTAAGGTTGCTATGGCCTTTGTGCAAGGTTGTGGATTTTGTGGTATTTTGTGACAGTTTGTATCAGGCCTAGAAGCATGAGAACCCTCTCTTCAAGGCCTTCTCTGAATCTATTTGTCCAGGTTTTTTCTTTTCTTTTTAAACATTAGTGACAGTTTTGATTCTGATAACTTTTATATCATGATCCTAATTTCAAAAAAAATTAAACGTGTAACTTATTTATGATGTATTTGATAGGCTTGGATTTGTGAATCACCTCTACTGTCTATAGTGGTAGATATATCTGAGCCTGCTTACACAGCACTTCCATCAGATTCTCTCTTCAGTGGAATTGGAAGAGGGGGTTTTGGAGAAGGGAATGAAGGAATTGTGCTGCATCAGAGGTCCCCACCTAACAGCACAGGGACTTTTTCTGTGCTCTTGCCAGGCCGTTGTATTAGGCTGATGCAAAAGTAATTTTGGTTTTGTCATTGAAAGTAATGAGACCATCTGACTTACAATGTCTGTGCCATAACCAGCTCCTAATAGCCTCTGAGGACAGCTTTGCCCTGACATATACTGTCCTGGGACCACGTCTGCTTTGTAACTCCTGAGGTAGCTGCCACCAAGACCAATGCCTTCTCATCTTTACTCTACATGCAGGTAACAGTTATAATTATATCTCTGTGTATTCACAGAACATTTAGTACATCTGGGACTTCTACAAAATTTCCCTAGCTGATTTTGGTGTTCTAGTGTCCTGGCAGCGCTAGCCATGAAGGGATGATGCTTTATCAGCATTTCTGTTGAGTTTTTTGCTTTTTCTCACAAACTGATTCCACTTTTCCCACATACGTTTGACAATTCATTTGAACTCATTTCACGGTTCGGGTGATGGGTGCACCCAAATCTCACAAATAACCAGTAAAGAACTTATTCATGGAACCAAATACCACCATACCCCAATAACCTATGGGAAAAAAAAATAAAATAAAATAAAAAAGATTCAGAAAAAAAGAAAATAATCACTGTACTTACCATGACACTTAGAAATGTTGGCTAGCATTATTTGTGTCACCTAATAATATAATTTTTTTTCCTTATGCTACAAACTAGCTCTGCTATTACAATCACTACTATTTGAAGTGTTACTAAATTTAATTAAATTTATTGTATCCTTCTGGACTCAGATATGGGAGTAAATGCTAAGACAATTTCAGAATATGATCACATATTAAAAGCATATTATATGGGGAAAATGTGATTTTTAAAACATAGAAATTGGTAGAGAAACAGTTTTTGGATCTCTTTAATTTCCACACATTTTGCAAGTGTGGACGCTGACTTTCTTGTTCTAAATGATTATTTTCAAGCATGTTTGTATAGAAAACACCCTTGGAATAGAAAACCAGTACCTCCTTCTGGAACAAAGGAAAATTTTATTTACTGTCTAGTATAATGCAGATAATTTCTCCCTCTTGGGAAGGGTACAGCCAAGTGAACTTCCCATAATACAAGTTTGGGTTTCTTGAGCTTGGGTTTTTCTTCCACAATGTAATGTGCAGGTGCCACTTGGCTCTATTTGTGTTATCCTGGGAAAGCTGATGGCTGTAGGTGCATGTTTATTTTGGGGTTCTCTATTCTGTTGCATTGGTCTTTGTGTCTGTTTTCATATCGCCACCATGCTATTTTGTCTACTGTGACCTTAGGGTATAGTATGAAGTCAAGTAATGTGATGTCTCCAGCTTTGTTCTTCTTGCTTAGGTTTCCTTTGGTTGTCTGGGCTCTTTAAAAATCCATACGAAATTTAGAATAGTTTTTTTCTGATTCTGTGAAAAACGACATTGGTTGTTTCATAGGAATAATGTTGAATGTGTAGATTGCTTTTGGCAGTATAGCCATTCTAACAATATTGCTCTTTCTAATCCATGAGCATGGAATGGTTTTCCATTTGTTTTGTCATCAATGATTTCTTTCTGCAGTGTTTTATAGTTCTCCTTTTAGATATCCTTTACCTCCTTGGTTAGACATATTCTTCTTTTATTTTATTTTGGGGGTTGCTGTTGTAAACAGGATTGCACTCTTGACTTACCTCTCAGTTTAAATATTTTTGGTGTACAGAAATGCTACTTCTTTTTATATGTTGATTTTTTTTATCCTGAAACTTCGCTGAAGTTTTTTTTATCAGTTCTAGGAGCCTTTTGGCACAGTCTTTAGGGTTTTCTAGGTGTAGAATCATATCATCAGTTAAGAGAGATAATTTGACTTCATTTCCTATTTGGATGCATTTTATCTCTTTCTCTTGCCTGATTGCTCTGGCTAGGACTTGTTGAACAGGAGTGGTGAGAACAGGCATCCCTATTTTATTCCTGTTCTTAAGGGGGACGTGTTAGGAGAAAAGCTGAGTGTTGGAAGAGAAGCTGAGGCAGGGCCATATGTTTCTCATTCACTTGATACTCCGTTTCCTTTCAACCCCCACATCCTCACCACCTGTTTCTTTGTTTGAGCACCAATAAATAGTGTGGGCTCCCAGAGCTTGGGGACTTTGCAGACTCCACACTTGTGATGGTCCCCTGGTCCCACTTTCTCTCTCAAACTGTCTTTTTCTCATTCCTTTGACTCCACCGGACTTTGTCACCCCCATGACCTAGTGTTGGGTCTGATCACCCCAGCATTCTTGGCGCCCAACATGGGATGACAAAGACCCTGATGAAGGAAGGCTAGAGCATGTGAAAGCAGAGGACACATCATCAAAAGACACCCGAGGACATACAAAGATGGTGAGTGAAAGTTAGCACTTAGAATTTGTTATCACTCTTTAGTACAGTAAAACAGTTTTGCCCATGGTTTCCAGAACAAAGGAGTATGAAGTTAGATGAACGGGAGAGAATTGGAAGAGATTTTTAAAAGGCATATAAAGATGGAGCAAAAATTCCAGTTTCTGTATGGTCAGTGTGGGCACTAATAAAGGCAGACTTTGAGCCATTTCAAAGAGATGATGAGGCAGAGTCAGATGAGGAAGAGGAGGATGAGTGTAAAAAACTAACTTCAAATTCTGAGTGTGAAGAACAGCTACCGGAGGAGATTAAAGAAAAGAAAGACTTTAAAAAGTATGTTTTACTAGCCCATTTGCTCCACCTGCTGAATTAAGTGAATGGCCACCTCTTCTCTCTCCCCTAAATGGGTGAGAAAATAAATTAGCTGAAAAACTTACTGCTCCTGTAGTTGCAACATTAAAACCTGGAGCAATTGGTGGAGCTAGACAAAATTCTATTCAAAAAGCTAAAGCCAAGGGAGACCTTGAAGCATGGCAATTTCCCGTTACTATAATCCAGCAAGTAGGACAGAATATAGCTAATTAGGCTGTTTTTTCTTTTAAGTTACTAAAGAATTTAAGCAAGCCATTAGTCAATATGGACTGAACTCTCTTTTTGTGCAAACTTTATTAAAAAATATGGCTCTTGGTAATAGATTACTACTATAAAATTAGGATACTTTGACAAAACCTGTTCTCACTCCATCTCAGTACTTGCAGTTTAAAACTTGGTAGGCTGATGAAGCTCAAACTCAGGCAAATGAAAACACAGAAGTGCAGCCACCTGTGCCTGTTTTCTTTGATCAGTTAATATGAGTTGGCCCTAACCGGGGTTGATTAGAGAATCAAGCAGTAATGGAAGATGTTGCCATTGTTCAGCTGTGCTTCATGTGCTTACAGGCATAGAAAAGGATAAATGTTACAGGGGAAAAGTATCCTTATTTCAGTTCTGTCTGACAAGGACCTAAACAACCATATATTAATTTTATTGCTCAGCTCCAAGAGGCTGTGTATAAAGCCATAAATGATAAAAACAGCTCAAGATGTTGTAATACAGCTTCTTGCATACAATAATGCTAATGCAGAGTGTCAAACTGCTATTAGACCCCTGAGAGAGAAGGCTCATTTAACTAAATATATTAAGGCTTGCGATGACATTGGAGGTAACTTACATAAGGCTATTCTTTTAGCTCAGGCTATGGCTAGATTAAGAGTAAGAAAAAATATGCTTCATTTCTCAGGCTCTTGCCTTAATTGTGGGCAAATTGGACACAAGAAAGGAATGTAGAAAGGAATTAAAAAGACGAAAACTACTACCATCAATCAACAGAAAAGTCCCAGTGTATGTCCCTGGTGTAAGAAAGGCAATCACTAGGCAAGTCCGTGTCATTCTAAATTTAGCAAAGATGGGCAACCTCTTTCAGGAAATAGGAAGAGGGACCCACCTTGAGCCCCTCAACAAACCGAGGCATACCCAGCACAGCCACTGCCCTTACAAATGTACAACAATTGTCCCCCGCCTCAGCAAGCAGTGCTGCTGTAGACCTCTACAGAACAATTCCCATCTCCTTACTTCCTGGGGAGCCACCAAAGAAGGTCCCCACAGGCGTTAGGGCAGCCTTACCCTGAGGAACTGTTGGGAACAAGACCCCTCAAATCCGGCCATAAACTGGCCCCAAAACTGGCCATAAACAAAATCTGTGCAGCACTGTGACATGTTCATGATGGCCATAACACCCACGCTGTAAGGTTGTGGGTTTACTGGAATGAGGACAAGGAATACCTGGCCCGTCCAGGGTGGAAAACCACTTAAAAACATTCTTAAGCCACAAACAATAGGATGAGTGATCTGTGCCTTAAGAACATGCTTCTGCTGCAGTTAACTAGCCCAACCTATTCCTTTAATTCAGCCCATCCCTTCGTTTCCCATAAGGAATACTTTTAGTTAATCTAATATCTATAGAAACAATGCTAATGACTGGCTTGCTGTTAATAAATACGTGGGTAAATCTCTGTTCAGGGCTCTCAGCTCTGAAGGCTGTGAGACCCCTGATTTCCCACTTCACACCTCTATATTTCAGTGTGTATATCTTTAATTCCTCTAGCGCTGCTGGGTTAGGGTCTCCCCGACCGACCTGGTCTCAGCAAGTGATGCAAATTCATGGGGGCTCGAATATAGGTCAAAGGATCGCTGGAGCAACGATTGGAGAATGTGGAACTAGCTGGAGGACACCTGAGTACTCTTAAAGCAATCCCCGTGGTGAGTAAGAAGGGGAGCTCGGAAGCTTCAGGGTAACAATGGGACAAGTGTGGGCTGTGGTTCGTTCTACCTTGGAACTTTTTCACACTGATGATGAGGAGGAAGGAGAGTATAACAAAGTAACAGTAGAGGTTACAGACCAGGTTTATTTGCCACCTAAATCTAAAGCAGAAAAGGAAGGAGAGGTTCATCCCTACCCTTCTGCACCCCCTCATTATTATTTTGAAGAAAACGACCCTCCAGATCTTTCTTTTCTGGAGGACACTGGGTGAAAAGTAGTTACCCTGGTGACTGTTCGAGCAGCGCCTTGAGCGACTGCTCTTAGTTCTATTCAGGCAGGAATTCAGCAAGCTAGACAAAAGTGGGATTTAGAGGCTTGGCAGTTCCCTGTTTGAATACACCCCGCAGATCAACAGGGAAATATTATAGCTACATTTGAGCCTTTTCCTTTTAAATTACTCAAAAAATTTAAACACGCTATAAATCAGTATGGACCAGGTTCTCCTTTTGAAATGGGACCGTTAAAGAATGTTGCTGTTTCCAGTCAGATGATTCCTACTGACTGGGACACTATTACTCGAGCTTGTCTAATTCCTGCTCAGTTCTTACAATTTAAAACTTAGTGGGCAGATGAAGCTTCCATTCAGGCTGCTCGCAATGCCTGGGCCCAACCTCAAATTAATATAACTGCAGACCAACTTTTGGGGGTTGGTGGCTGGGCTGGTTTACATGCACAAGTGGTCATGCAAGATGATGCCATAGAACAGCTTAGAGGAGTGTGCATTAGAGCTTGGAAAAAATCACTTCATGTGGAGAACAATACCCTTCCTTTAGTGCTATAAAACAGGGACCAAGAGAAACATGCGTGGATTTTGTAGCTTGGTTACAGGAATCTCTTAAAAAGATGATTGCAGATTTGGCTGCTTAGGATATACTTTTGCAGTTATTAGCTTTTGACAATGCTAATCACTATTGCTAGGCTGCTCTGCGACCTATCAGAGGGAAAGCACATTTAGTTGATTATATCAAGGCCTGTGATAGTATCAGAGGTAATCTACATAAAGCTACTTTGTTGGCACAGGCGATGGCAGGACTGAGAGTGGATAAAGGAAATACTCCATTTCCTGGAGCTTGTTTTAACTGTGGGAAGCATGGTCATACTAAAAAGAATGTAGAAAAAAAATCAGCGAGTAAGGCCACCAGATAGGGGAAAAAAGAAAACTGCTGATCCTGAAATATGTCCAAAATGTAAAATAGGAAAACTTTGGGCTAATCAGTGTCACTCTAGGTTTGATAAAGAAGGGAATCCGATTTCAGGAAACTCCCTGAGGGGCCCATCCCAGGCCCTGTTCTAAACCAGGGCATTTCCAGCTCAGGCTATTCCCTCACCCCCGTACATTATCTGTCCCCCACCACAGGCCATAGTGCCACAGTAGATTTATGCTGCACAAAAGCTGTGAGCCTTCTGCCTGGGGAACCCCCGCAAAAGGTCCCAACAGGAGTCTGTGGACCGTTGCCAACAGGGACAATGGGATTACTTTTCAGAAGGTCTAGTTTAAGTTTAGAAGGGGTACAAATACACACTGGAGTCATTGATTCAGATTACAATGAGGAAATTCAAATTGTGATATCTACTTCTGTTCCCTGGAAAGCACCAGCCAGAAGTGCGCATAGCACAGCTCCTGAGTGTGCCGTATGTGGGAATGGGAAAAAGTGAAATTAAATGAACTGGAGGATTTGGAAGCACAAATAAAAAAGGCAAGGCAGCTTATTGGGTAAATCAAATTACTGATAAACATCCTACCTTTTAAATAACTATCCAGGGAAAGAACTTTAAAGGTTTGGTAGATAATATTTTTTTTTTGGTAGGAGCAGACATTTCAATCATTTCTCTACAGCACTGGCCGTCCACATGTCCAATTCAGCCCACTCAATTTAACACAGTGGAAACTGCTAAAGCCCCAGAAGTATATCAAAGTAGCTATATTTTGCATTGTGAAGGGCCCGATGGACAACCTGGGACTATTCAACCAATTACAACTTCTGTACCTAAAAATTTATGGGGGAGAGATTTATTATGACAATGGGGAGCACAAGTTCTAATTCCATAACAATTACACAGCCCTCAAAGTCAGCATATGATGCACGAAATGGGGCATGTCCGTGGAATGGGAGTAGAAAAAAAATTTGCAAGGTTTGAAAGAACTGCTTCAAACGGAAAGACAAAGTTCTTGCCAAAGATTAGGATATCATTTTTGATGGTGGCCATTGTTAAGCCTCCAGAACCTATACCTTTAAAATGGTTAACAGATAAGCCAATTTGGATAGAATAATGGCTGCTAAGCAAAGAGAAACTGGAAGCTTTAGAGAAAATAGTTACTGAACAATTAGAAAATGGGCACATAGCTCCAACATTTTCCCCTTGGAATTCTCCAGTTTTCATAATTAAGAAAAAATCAGGTAAATGGAGAATGTTAACTGACTTAAGAGCCATCAATTCAGTTATACAACCTATGGAAACATAACAGCCAGGATTGCCTTCTCCTACTATAATTCCAAAAAATTGGCCTTTAATAGTCACAGATTTAAAAGACTGTTTCTTTACTACCCTTTTAGCTGAGCAATACTGTGAACGGTTTGCATTTACAATTCCTGCAGTAAGCAACCTGCAGCCTGCGAAGTGTTTTCATTGTTTCACAGATGGGTATAGTAATGGTAAAGCTTCTTATTCTGGATCAAAAGGTAAAGTTTTCCAGACACCCTATACTTCAGCTCAAAAAGTGGAGCTTGTAGCTGTAATTGAGGTATTGACTGCTTTTGATATGCCTATTAATGTGATTTCTGATTCTTCATACATGGTTCACTCCACACAGTTAATTGAAAATGCTCAGTTACAATTTCATACAGATGAACAACTGATAATAAAAACAAAAAAGGGGGAGAAACAGGGATTAAGGGATAGCCCATATACAATTGAATCTAGCATTATTAACTTTCAATTTTTTAAGCCTGCCCAAAGGCCAGATGTTATCAGCAGCTGAACAGCATCTACAGAAAGCAGCTGCGAAGACAGAAGCAGAATAACTGGTTTGGTGGAGAGATCCAATAACAAAAAGTTGGGAAATAGGTAAAATTATAACTTGGCATAGAGGTTATGCTTGTGTTTCTCCAGGACAGAATCAACAATTGATTTAGATACCATCAAGATTCCTGAAATTTTATCATGAACCAGATGCTGAGGAAGAGATAAAAAGCACAATCATCATTGAAATTAGAGCCTCTGGCTGGGCGTGGTGTCTCAAGCCTGTAATCCCAGCACTCTGGGAGGCCGAGGTGGGTGGATCACAAGGTCAGGAGATCGAGACCATCCTGGCTAACACGGTGAAACCCCGTCTCTACTAAAAATACAAAAAATTAGCTGGGTGAGGTGGCGGGCGCCTATAGTCCCAGCTACTCAGGAGGCTGAGGCAGGAGAATGGTGTGAACTCGGGAGGCAAAACTTCAGGTTTTCCCAAGAATGACACTGTAAATGTAACAAAGCTTCTGTGCTTGTTAGTGAACACCAAATCAGCTACTCTCCTGTATTCGGAGATAAGGATGAAATGAAAAGAACAAGCAGGCCGGGCGCGGTGGCTCATGCCTGTAATGCCAACACTTTGGGAGGCTTAGGTGTGTGGATCACCTGAGGTTGGGAGTTCGAGACCAGCCTGACCAACATTGAGAAACCCCGTCTCTACTAAAAATGCAAAATGAGCTGGGCATGGTGGCACAAGCCTCTAATCCCAGCTTGGGAGACTGAGGCAGGATAAGTTCTTAAACCTGAGAGACAGAGGTTGCAGTGAGGTGATATTGCACCATTGCACTCCAGCCTGGGCAACAAGAGTGAAACTCCATCTCAAAAAAATAAAAAATAAAAAAAGACCCCCAACCTTGTCTAGACTGTGGGGTTTCAGTTTCACCCCAGGGGTGTCCTGGTTGGGTTAGAATCCTGAATCTGGTTTGAGTTCGAATCCTAAAGAATAAAGGGAATAAAGGCTGTAGCCACTGAGATACTTAATCTGGTCTGGTTCTGGCTTTTGTGTGTCTATCTGTATTTTTGGTCTAAATATTTGGCCCAACAGAGGTTAAAGGCTTTGATGTTCTCAGCAAAAGCCTTGTGAGATCTCTAGTTTATCTGTGTGCTCAACTGGAACAAAGAGACTCCATAAACTAGAAAAACCTAAACAAAATGGCACATTTGAAAAATTGAGAGCCAACTCCTGTTTGTTGTTCTGTCCACCTCCCTCTCTCATTCCTCCTTCTGCCTTTGCTGTGGTCCCATGGTGTTTCTGTCCTTCTGGGGACCTGAGATTCAGTGTAGGAGTGAAGTCCATGATTTTAAAGCCTTCATGTCTCTGCTTTTTAACTCTGCCTGCTTTGCTGAGCTCTTATAATGAGAAATAAACCATTCAGAACAGAAACAACAGGGCATCAGAACACCAACTTCAGGCAGCGCTCCGGCAAGTACCTCCCTAGAGGGGAAGGGCTTACTAAAGGAGAATTAATCTTGAAAAGGCCAAAATGAGAAGCTCTAACCTTAAGCTTGCTAGGTTTTCTGGGACTGGAGCTGGCTATATATTATGGACCATTCTAGCCACACACACACACATACACACACACACACACACACACACATACACACATGTTTTTGAGACAGAGTCTCACTCTGTTGCCCACGCTGGAGTACAGTGTTGTGTTCTTGGCTCACTGCAACCTCCACTTCCCAGGTTCGAGCAATTCTCCTGTCTCAGCCTCCTGAGTAGCTGTGATTACAGGTGTGCACCACCATACCCGGCTAATTTTTGTGGTTTTAGTAGAGATGAGGTTTCACCATGTTGGCCAGGCTGGTCTCAAACTCCTGATCTCAAGTGATCCACCTGCCTTGGCCTCCCAAACTGCTGGGATTACAGGCATGAGCCACTGTTCCCAGCCTGTATATATATATATATATATATTCTTTTTCTTTTTGACACAGAGTCTTGCTCTGTTGCCCAGGATGGAGTATGGTGGTACAATCGCGGCTCACTGCAACCTCCGCCTCCCAGGTTTGAGCGATTATCCTTCCTCAGCCTCCTGAATAGCTGAGACTACAGGTGCACACCACCACACCCAGTTAATTTTTGTATTTTCAGTAGAGATGGGGTTTTGTCACGTTGGCCAGGCTGGTCTCAAACTCCAGGCCTCAAGTGATCCACCTGCCTCAGCCTCCCGTAGTGTTGGGATTACATGAATGAGCCACTGCACCTGGCCTCTAGTGCACACTTTAAACCTGACGGCCAAATTACATGAAAGAAAATTCAGAACTCAAATAGTTACTATTTTTAAAAACCCTAAAATGAAAAAGTCTCAGTTCTTTTGCCTATCTTTTTATTTCCCTGCCTACTTTGAATCTGCTGATTTGTCTACTGGTGTTGAGATAAGACTTACTGTCTGTGGTGTTACCAATTCAAGGTTACTTGGCTGAAGAAAAACAAAAGAATGAAACAATTCTTTATTTTTTTCTCTTTTTGAGACAAGGTCTCACTCTAAGGTCTCAATCTGTTCCCCAGACTGGAGTGCAGTAGTGGGATCATAGCTCACTGTTATCTCAAACTCCCAGGCTCAAGCAATCCTCCTGCCTCATCCTCTCTAGTAGAGGCGACAATAGGCATGCACCACCATGCCTGGTAATTGTTTATCTTATTCTTAGTAGAGATTGGGTCTCACTATGTTGCCCAGGCTGGTCTCAAACTCCTGAGCTCAAGTGATCCTCTTGCCGCAGCCTCTCAAACTGCTGGGATACAGGCATGAACCACTGTGCCCAGACAAAAGAGTTCTTTTATAAATACAAATAATTTAAAAAGTATTGATAAAATAAAAATAGAAATGTCTTCAGAATTTTCAGCATACATTTTTGTGTTTTATATTTACATTTGCTAGATATTTTAAGGTGCTAGGGTTTGGCATGAAGGTTATAAAGCTGTAAACACAGGAAAAAAAAGAATATTTGTTTATGTGATTTTTTAAATACATAAGGCCAATTTAATATGGTTTGTTGAACAAAAATAATGGAATTTTCTGTGTTATTGGTAAAATACCCATGTATTTAACTTTGAAGTCCTCACTTATGTGAACACCTGATATTCACAGGCTATAACATGGTTAACAATAAAATAACCTAGAAATGATGACTAGCTTTGTCTAATACCTCAGTTCTCACAAATACTCTAGATAAACTGTCAAAAATAAGTAAATGTAAATGGATAAATGTCTATACAAGACATCTTAATGTATTTTTGAAATTTTTTTGAGACAGTGTCTCTGTCTGTCACCCAGGCTGAAGTGCAGTGGCATGATCACAGCTCACTGCAACCTTGAACTCCTGCACTCAAGGGATCCTCCCATCTCAGCCTCCCAAGTAGCTGTTAATTACAGGTATGCACCACCATGGTCAGCTAACTTTTATTTTTTTTGTAGAGTCAGCATCTCACTATTTTGCTCAGGCTGGTTTCATGATACTCCTGCCTTGGCCTCCCAAAGTGTTGGGATTACAGGTGTGAGCCACCATGCCCAGCCTATTTTTGAAATTTTAGTTATGTTAAATTAAATAATAGATACTCATTAAATATCTGGGTTATTTCCAATTTAAGACTTACATTTTAGCCCAGGCACTGTGGCTCACGCCTGTAATCCCAACACTTTGGGAGGCCAAGGCGGGTGGCTCACCCGAGGTCAGGAGCTCAAGACCAGCCTGATCAACATGGTGAAACCCCATCTCTACTAAAAAATACAAAAAATTAGCCAGGTGTGGTGGTGGGTTCCTGTAATCCCAGCTACTCGGGAGGCTGAGGCAGGAGAATTGCTTGAACCTTGGGGGCGGAGGTTGCAGTGAGATGAGATCGCACCATTGCACTCCAGCCTGGGCAACAAGAGCGAAAATCCATGTTAAAAAATATGTTTTAGGAACACATAATTCTAAATTATGAAATTATTCTCATATGTAAGATACTGCTATATGACAATTCAAGATTTCTTGCTTCCTAGGTTTTCTATTAAAATAAGGGTTACTAAGTGTTAATATCTTGGTAGATATATGTGATTAAGACTACTAGATACAAGAGAAACAATTCTGTATGCAAAATGTATACCGGTTTTTTTTTCAGAGAAAGTAAATTCGCTTAGAGATTTTTAAGGATTATTTTAAATTGAAGGAATAAAAAAGATAGATAAAACTAAATGTGTATAAAAAGTTGGGAAAGATGAAAAAATTATACAAGGTTATTAAAAGTTTATGTAAATCTTACATCGAGGTCAAAACTGATTGAGATCAGATAGATTGTTTATAAAGTTTATTTAAATTAGCTGTAATATTAAAAAGAGTGATAAAATACTAAAAATTTTGGTTAAAACAACAAGGTTTTCTTAATGTATTTATTTGCTCATAAGAAGAGGTAATAAATATTGACTTTTAATCCTGAAATCTATTACTATAAAAACTTTTCAGATTTGTATATCAGAAGTTCAACTTCTCCTGTACTTTCATGTTACACATGACTCACAGATCACATCACTGTCTCCTGTTCCTTCTTGAGAAGGAATAAAAGGCTTGGGTTTCCTGCTTGGCTGGGATGATAACTCCTTCAGCTTTTTCATCAGGTCTAATTTTGTATTCTTGGCTTTTAAATATGTCTTAATTACTTCATGTAACCAGGAAACTTCCATGCTATCATTGTGAGCTATGGATCCCCACTGCTCTATGCTCTGGTTTTCCTGTTTACATTCCTTTGTAATATTATGCTCACTCATGACCCTGGACACACTCTTTCTATGTCTAATTAAATTAAAGTCTCCTTGTCATCGGAATTGACTTCCAAGTGATTTAAATTAGCTTCCCATAAGAAGACACAGTTATGCCACAGGAGTTTTACCCTTTAAATGACTGGCCTGTAATGAAGATTTTAGGTTTTATCAAGATAATCCATGTGTTGCCTTTATTTTTTTTTAATTACTTGGGAAAACTGAGGGTTTTCAGTTTTCACATCCATGTAACCTTCTATGTTGCTTTTGATGTCTTTTGGTTGTCATGCTAATTAAATGAATGACTGCTATTTAAAAATGACATGTGGCTGTGTGCAGCAGCTCATGTCTGTAATTCCAGCCCTTTGGGAAGCCAAGGTGGGTGGATCAGTTGAGCCCAGGAGTTCAACTCCAGCCTGGGCAAAATGGCAAAACCCCATCTCTACTAAAAATAAAAAAGCTAGCTGTGTGTGGTAGCACGTGCTCATAGTCCTGGCTACTTGGGAGACTAAGGTGGAGGATCACCTGATCCTGGGAGGTTGAGGCTGCAGTGAGCCATGATTTCACCACTGCACTCCAGCCTGGGCAACAGGGTGAGACCCTGTCTCAAAAAAATAATAAAATTAAAAACAATAAACTGTCATTCTGTTTTGGTCAAATCTTTTCAATTTTTTTACATCTTTGTTAAAACTTAGTTGATAACATTGTATGGCAAGCATTGCCAAAAGATAAGTAACACTAAATCTTCTTTTTTTTTTCTCTCTGAGACAGAATCTTGCTTTGTCACCCAGGCTGGAGTGCAGTGGCATGATCTAGGTTCACTGCAACCTCTGCCCCAAGGTTCAAGCGATTCTCCTGCCTCAACCTCCCAAGTAGCTGGGACTACAGACACATGCCACCACGCCCGGCTAATTTTGTATTTTTAGTAGAGACAAGATTTCTCCATGTCGGCCAGGCTGGTGTCGAAATCCTGACCTCTGATGATCTGTCCAACTTGGCCTCCCAAAGTGTTGGGATTACAGGCATGAGCCACTGTGCCTGGCCTAAATCTTCTTTTGGTTACATTTATAGGTATATTATTAATATAAATATTTTAAATGTTATATAAATTATAAAAATCTGATATGGTATCAGTGATAATTTTGATGATGTTAAATATTCTCTAAAGTTGTATATGTATAGATATATTATTAATATAAATATTCTAAAGATTGTATAAAATTTGTGGAAGTCTGATGGATCTGATGTGTTGCCGTCAGTCATGATTCTGGCTGTTATCTTAAAATGCTACATATAATAGAAATAACTAAATTTCCTCACCAGTTGAGAACTTCCACTGGATTTTAACCAAAGGCTCTTCTAAGTTTTTGTCATCCACGGTGATTGTTTAAAGTTCTTCTCTAAAACCCTTTACAGGCCAGGCGCGGTGCTGAAGGCCGTGCAGGGCACGGTGGCTCGCGCGTGTAAAAATCCCAGCACTTTGGAAGGCCGAGGTGGGTGAATTGCTTAAACTCAGAAGTTTTAAAGCAGCCTGGGCAACATGGTAAAATCCTCTCTCTACAAGAATACAAAAATTAGCCAGGCATGATGGTGCATGCCTATGGTCCCAGCTACTTCAGAGGCTGAGGTAGGAGGATGGCTAGAGTTTGGGTGGGAGAGATTGCAGTGAACCAAGATCATGTCACTGCACTCCATCCTGAGTGATAGAGCCAGACCGTGTCTCAAAAAAAAAAAAAAGTCTTTACAATCAGCTATCATCTAAATTACTTTTAATGGAAAGGACTCTGACAAGTTCTCTTAAATATGGTTTCAGATAACTTTGGGGATCATACCATTGGACTATGAAAATCTTCCAGGACTCTAAAAAGCTGAATGAGAATTTCCAATTGAAATCAAGCAGAACACAAAAAACTGAATGAGAATTGCTATTTGAAATCAAGCAGAACAAGCTGTAGTTACATGGGACTGAACTTATAAAAGAAGGAAAAGATTTTATTCATGGCCTTTCCATTGGAAACATTGTTGATTCTCTTTATGTTTTGTTTTCCAAAGTCAAGAATTTTTTTTCTTTTCAGCTATTTTTAACTTACAATATATTAGATAAACTACATTGTGAACAAAAATTTGAGCCATTTATCTGTCTCTCTAGCTGATTTCTCCAGAATTCAGAAGCCATTCGTGAGCATTCTTAAATTATGGCAATATAATTATTTGCATAATTTCAATAAGAATCTGTTTTTGGTAACAAGATTCAATTGGAGACACTGTTTGTTTTATCAAGGCTTTAACTTGAATGGCAGATACAACCAGACCACTTTAAGGAATTGAGGTTGACTTTATAGCACCAATACAAAGCCCCTTAGAATGACTGGCTTGATGTCCTGTCTACAAGGATCCTTTACAAATTTGCTGTCCTTGTGGTAAGAAGTAAAGAATGTCACTTTCTGACGGGCCCAGGAACCTCAAGATATTTGGGGACCTTGAGAAGAGAGGACTACACCCATTCATAAAAGTATTACAGGAGAGCTGGCAAGATGTCTGAATAGGAACAGCTCCGGCCTGCAGCACCCAGTGAGATCAACACAGAAGGCAGGTTGTTCATGCATTTCCAACTGAGCCTCCACTGGTGACACCCAGGCAAACAGGTCTGGAGTGGACCTCCAGCAAACTCGAGCAAACCTGCAGCAGAGGGACCTGACTGTTAGAAGGAAAACTAACAAACAGAAAGGAATAGTATCAACACCACCAACATCAAAGACCAAAGGTAGATAAATCCACAAAGACGGGGAGAAACCAGTGCAAAAAGGCTGAAAACTCCAAAAGCCAGAATGCCTCTTCTCCTCCAGAAGATCACAACTCCCCGCCAGCAAGGGAACAAAACTGGACAGACAATGAGTTTGACGAATTGACAGAAGTAGGCTTCAGAAGGCGGGTAATAACAAACTCCTCCGAGCTAAAGGAGCATGTTCTAACCCAATGCAAGGAAGCTAAGAGCCTGAAAAAAAAGGTTAGGCGAATTGTTAACTAGAATAACCAGTTTAGAGAAGAATATAAATGACCTGATGGAGCTGAAAAACCCAGCACAAGAACTTCATGAAGCATACACAAGTATCAATAGCTGAATCAATCAAGCAGGAGAAAGGATATCACAGATTGAAGATCAACTCAAAGAAATTAAGCAAGAAGACAAGATTAGAGAAAAAAGAGTGAAAAGAAATGAACAAAGCCTCCAAGAAATAGAGGACTATGTTAAAACACTGAGTCTATGTTTGATTGGTGTACCTGAAAGTGACAGAGAGAATGGAACCAAGTTGAGAAACATTCTTAAGGATATTATCCAGGAGAAATTCCCCAACCCAGGAAGACAGGCCAACATTCAAATTCAGGAAATACAGAGAACGCCACTAAGATACTCCTCAAGAAGAGCAACCCCAAGACACAAAGTCATCAGATTCACCAAGGTTGAAATGAGGGAAAAAATAATAAGGGCAGCCAGAGAGAAAGGTTGAGTTACCCACAAAGGGAAGCCCATCAGACTAACAGTGGATCTCTTGGCAGAAAGCCTACAAGCCAGAAGAGAGTGGGGGCCAATATACAACATTCCTAAAGAAAAGAATTTTCAAGCCAGAATTTCATATCCAGCCAAACTAAGCTTCATAATTGAAGGAGAAATAAAATCCTTTTCAAGCAAATGCTGAGAGATATTGTCACCACCAGGCCTGCCTTACAAGAACTCCTGAAGGAAGCACTAAACATGGAAAGGAACAACTGGTAACAGCCACTGCAAAAACATACCAAATTATAAAGACAATTGACACTATGAAAAAACTGCATCAACTAATGAGCAAAATTACCACCTAGTATCATAATGACAGGATCAAATTCACACATAACAATATTAACCTTAAATGTAAATGAGCTAAATGCCCCCAATTGAAAGACACAGACTGGCAAATTGGATAAAGAGTCAAGACCCATCAATGTGCTGTATTCAGGAGACCCATCTCATACACATAGGCTCAAAATAAAGGGATGAAGGAACATTTAACAAGCAAGTGGAAAGCAACAAAAAGCAGGGGTTGCAATCCTAGTTTCTGATAAAACAGATCTTAAGCCAACAAAGATAAAAAGAGACAAAGAAGGGCATTACATAATGGTAAAGGGATCAATGCAACAAGAAGAGCTAACTATCCTAGACATATATGCACCCAATACAGGAGCACTCAGATTCATAAAGCAAGTTCTTAAAGACCTACAAAGAGACTTAGACTCCCACACAATAATAGTGGGAGACTTTAACACTCCACTGTCAATATTAGATAGATGAGACAGAAAATTAACAAGAATATCCAGGACTTGAACTCAGCTCTGGACCAAGTGGACCTAAAAGATATCTACAGAACTCTCCACCCCAAATCAACAGAATGTACCTTCTTCTCAGCACCACATTGCACTTATTCTAAAATTGACCACATAATTGGAAGTAAAACACTCCTCAGGAAATGCAAAATAATGGAAATCATAACAAACAGTCTCTCAGACCACAATGTATTCAAATTAGTATACAGGATTAAGAAACTCACTCAAAACCTCACAACTACATGGAAACTGGGCAACCTGCTCCTGAATGACTACTGGCTAAATAACGAAATGAAGGCAGAAATAAAGATGTTCTTCAAAACCAGTGAGAACCAAGACACAACGTACCAGAATCCCTAGGACACTTTTAAAGCAGTGTGTAGAGGGAAATTTATAGCACTAAATGCCCACAAGAGAAAGCAGGAAAGATCTAAAATTGACACCTTAACATCAAAATTAAAAGAACTAGAGAAGCAAGAACAAGTAAATTCAAAAGCTAGCAGAAGGCAAGACATAAATAAGATCAGAGCAGAATTGAAGGAGATAGAGACACGAAAAACTCTTCAAAAAATCAATGAATCCAGGAGCCGGTTTTTTGAAAAGATCAACAAAACAGACTACTTGCCAGACTAGTAAAGAAGAAAAGAGAGAAGAATCAAATAGATGCAATAAAAAATGATTAAGGGGATATCACCACTGGTCCCACAGAAATACAAATTATCATCAGAGAATTCTACCAAGACTAAACCAGGAAGAAATCAAATTCCTGAAAAGACCAATAACAGGTTCTGAAATTGAGGCATTAATCAATACCCTACCAACGAAAAAAAATCCAGGACCAGACGGATTCACAGCCAAATTCTACCAGAGGTACAAAGAGGAGCTGGTACCATTCCTTCTGAAACCATTCCAAACAATAGAAAAAGAGAGAATCCTCCCTAATTCATTTTATGAGGCCAGGATCATCTTGATACAAAAACCTGGCAGGGACACAACAAAAAAAGAAAATTTTAGGCCAATAGCCCTGATGAACATCAATGCAGAAATCCTGAATAAAATACTGGAAAACTGAATCCAGCAGCACATCAAAAATCTTGTCCACCATGACCAAGTTGACTTCATCCCTGGGATGCAAGGCTGGTTCAACATGCAAATCAATAAATGTAATCCATCATATAAACGGAATCAATGACAAAAACTACATGATTATCTCAATAGATGCAGAAAAGGCCTTTGACAAAATTCAACAGCCCTTCATGCTAAAAACTCTGAATAAACTGGTATCGATGGAACATATCTCAAAATATTAAGTGCTATTCATGACAAACCCACAGCCAATAACATACTGAATGTGCAAAAACTGGAAGCACTCCCTTTGAAAATCAGCACAAGACAAGGATGCCCTCTCTCACTACTCCTATTCCACATAGTGTTGGAAGCTCTGGCCAGGGTAATCAGGCAAGAGAAAGAAATAAAGCGTATTCAATTAGGAAAAGAAGAAGTCAAATTGTCTCTGTTTGCAGATGACATGATTATATATTTAGAAAACCCCATCGTCTCAGCCCAAAATTTCCTTAAGCTGATAAGCAACTTCAGCAAAGTTTCAGGATACAAAATCAATGTGCAAAAATCACAAGCTTTCTTATTCACCAATAACAGACAAACAGAGAGCCAAACTATGAGTGAACTCCCATTCGCCATTGCTACAACAAGAATGAAATACCTAGGAATACAACTTACAATGATGTGAAGGACCTCTTCAAGGAGAACTACAAACCACTCCTCAAGGAAAAAGAGAGGACACAAACAAATGGAAAAACACTCCATGCTCATCGATAGGAAGAATCAATATCATGAAAATGGCCATACTACCCAAAGAAATTTATAGATTCACTGCTATCCCCATTAAACTACCATTGACTTTCTCCACGGAATTGGAAAAATATATTTTAAATTTCATATGGAATCAAAAAAGAGCCCGAATAGCCAAGACAATCCTAAGCAAAAAGAACAAAGCTGGAAGCATCATGCTACCTGACTTCAAACTATACTACAAGGCAACGGTAACCAAAACAGCATGGTACTGGTACCAAAACAGATATATAGATCAAAGGAACAGAACAGAACCCTCAGAAACAACACCACATATCTACAACCATCTGATCTTTGACAAACCTGAGAAAAACAAGCACTGGTTAAAGGATTCCTTATTTAATAAATGGTGTTGGGAAAACTGGCTAGCCTTAGGCAGAAAGCTGAAACTGGATCCCTTCCGTACACCTTATATAAAAATTAACTCAAGATGGATTAAAGACTTAAACTTAATACCTAAAGCCATAAAAACCCTAGAGGAAAACCTAGGCAATACCATTCAGGACGTAGGCATGGGCAAAGACTTCATGACTAAAACACCAAAAACAATGACAAAAAAAACAAAATTGACAAATGGGACCTAATTAAACTAAAGCGCTTCTGGAAAGCAAAAGAAACTGTGAGAGTGAACGAGCAACCTCCAAAATGGGAGAAAATTTTTGCAATCTATCCATCTGACAAAGGGCTAATATCCAGAATCTACAAAGAACTTAAACAAATTTACAAGAAAGAACAATCCCATCAAAAAGTGGGCAAAGGATGTGAACAGACACTTCTTAAAAGAGGACAATTATGCAACCAACAAACATATGAAAAAAAGCTCATCATGACTAGTCATTAGAGAAATGCAAATCAAAACCACAATGAGATACCATCTCATGCCAGTTAGAATGGTGATCATTAAAAAGTCAGGAAACAACAGATACTGGAGAGGGTGTGGAGAAATAGGAATGCTTTTACACTGTTGGTGGGAGTGTAAATTAGTTCAACCATTGTGGAAGACAGTGTGGCTATTCCTCAAGGATCTAGGACTAGAAATACCATTTGGCCCAGAAATCCCATTACTGGGTATATACCCAAAGGATTATAAATCATTCTACCATAAAGACAAATGCACACGTATTTTTATTGCAGGACTGTTCACAATAACAAAGACTTGGAACCAACCCAAATGCCCATCAATTATAGACTGGATAAAGAAAATGTGGCACATATACACCATAGAATACTATGCAGCCATAAAAAAGGATGAGTTCATGTCCTTTGTAGGGACATGGATGAAGCTGGAAACCGTCATTCTCAGCAAACTAACACAAGAACAGAAAACAAAACACCACATGTTCTCACTCATAAGTGGGAGTTGAACAACGAGAACACAAGGACACAGGGAGGGGAACATCACACACTGGGGCGTGTTGGGGGGTGGGGGCGGGGGGAGGGAAAGCATTAGGACAAATACCTAATATAGGTGATGGGTTGATGGGTGCAGCAAACCACCACAGCACATGTATACCTATGTAACAAACCTGTGCATTCTGCACTTGTACCCCACAACTTAAAGTATAATAAAAAAAAAGTAGGTTAAAAAAAGTATTACAGACACAGTCTGATGCAAATCTTTGACTTGGCTAGTCTCAAGGCTTTTAAAAGTCTAAGATTCCTTATTAAATAGTTCCAACAAAGCCAATTTTAAGAAGCCTATATGGTCAATAAATATTCTTGCTGCACTTTATGCAAATAATCAGGCCAGGTATGATAAGACTAAAACTTATTTTGCACAGAAATTTGTCCTACTATGATTTGTCTTTGATAAAATGATGGACTAGAGAGAGAAAATTTATGTTCCAAAAGAAAACTGTGACATATGCTATTAGATTCCAGCCCTGATCATTTTTTCTGAGTTTTTATTATTTGCCTATAATTTGGTCTGAATCCTGAATTATTTCCTGGCTCCAAGTGTTCCCTAGTGAACCCAGATATAATATATTTTATAAAACTTGTTTTATCCTGTCAGGAATGAGATGTATTTTTGAAGGACTACTTAAACTAGCAATTACAATTCGATTATTATGATTATAGAATCTCGGGATTTCTCTTCCTTCTTGTCAAGGTCTTTACCTGATGTTTGTCTCATTAAAAAAAAAGAAATCAGACTGATTACACTCTACTCAAGACTGAAGACATGTACTTTAACATGTCTCTGTTACCAGTAATCCAAAGCCTTAAATTTCAGAATCCATCAGGGACCCTGTGTGGTCCCTGGATCAAGCACACATGGGCTTATGAATGTGTTGACCACTGGCATATGAGAGGTAATTGTCTATTAGGTTATGTGGCTCTTCCTCTTTCTATTTATAACTCCAATGTTTCTGAACGCTGAAGTAGTTCATTGAAATTATTTTCCAGGATTAGACAAACTGTACCTGCAAACCAAGGAGATGAATTTTGGCCTATGTTTGGCAGAAGTCTCTTGCAATGGTGGGGAGTAACCTCTCATGAACGTATAATTAGAAATCTGTCAACCACTCTAGGTAACTTAGCAAATGAACTAGCTGAAGCCATAGCTACCAAATAAAGATCTTCAGACTCTTTAGACAGGATAGTCATGGATGACGGAATAACTTTAGGCTACATAGTGGTGAAACAGGGAGAAGCTCATATGGCAGCTAGCTAACACATCATGTTGTGTTTAGATCCATACATCTTCTGAAGTTCAAACACATGTAAAAAAATAAGATGATATGGGAATTAATTATGACAAATCCTAGGGAAGAGGCTGAAAGAGCTGTAACACAAACAGGGCTGAGACATGCCCCTTGCTCACCACATTGTGGGCAAAGAGAAGGAAAGAAGAGCTGTGGCCCTTTGGGGAGCCCAGACCTGGGAGCTCCCCGAGCCAGGTCCTTCTTTGGGGCCCTTTGGTTCCTGATATCTCCAAGATTCTGGGTGCCACTGTGTTCCCAGTGTGCCAGCTATGGAAGCTGGTTGAGGTGCCCGTGATCCAGCCACAGCCTTGTGGAGAGCTGGCGTCCGTGTTGGCACTTGGAGCCACCTGCCCCACTGCAGCAGCCAGCAGATCTGACTGCACAGTGGCCAGACCCCATGCTCACTCACACACCCCTTGCCACTCCACGCAGTCTCCCTTGGCAGGCATGGGATCCAACGTGGTAGCATGAGCTGAGCACAGCCTGCCAGGCTGAGTGTGCAGGGCCCAGCAAAGCTCGGGCAAAGGTGCCACCAGCCATAGAGGTTTCTGTCCAGAAAAGTAACACCCCAAAGATCCCGTAACACCGCTACTCTTCCCAGCCTCTGGAAACTCTCAGTCTACTCTCTATCTTGATGAGTTCAATTGTTTTAATTTTTAGCTCCCACAAATGAGTGAGAACATGTAAAGTCTGTCTTTCTGTGCCTGGCTCATTTTACTTAAAATAATGTCCTCTAGTTCCATCCATGTTGTTGCAAATGACAGAATCTTATTCTTTTTCATGGCCGAAGAGTACTCCGTTGTGTATATGTACTACATTTTCTTTATCCCTTCATCTGTTGATGCACACTTAGGTTGCTTCCAAATCTTGGCTATTATGAATAGTGCTGAAATAAATATGGGAATGCAGATATCTCTTTGATATACCAATTTTCCCTCTCTTGGGTATATACCCAGCAGTGGGATTGCTGTATCATATGATAGTTCTATTTTTAATTTTTTGAGGGACCTCCATATTTTTCTCCATAGTGAATATACTAATTTACATTCCCACCAACAGAGTAAGAGAGTTCCCTTTTCCCCACATTCTTGAAAGCATTTGTTATTGCCTGTCTTTTGCATAAAAGCCATTTTAATGGGGTAAGTTGCTATCTTATTGTAGTTTTGATTTCAATTTCTCTGATGATCAATGATATTGAGCATCTTTTCATATACCTATTTGACATTTATATATCTTCTTTTTTGTTTTTGCTCATTTTTTGAGACAGCGTCTCACTCTGTCGTCCAGGCTGGAGTGCAGTGGTATGATCACGGCTTAATGTAATGTTGACTGCCAGGGTTCAAGCAATCCTCCCACCTCAGCCTCCTGAGTAGCTGGGACCACAGGCAGGCATCACCATGCCCAGGTAGTTTTTAAAATTATTTGCTATGTTGTTCAGGTTGGTCTTGAACTCCTGGGCTCAAGTGTCCCACCCGTCTTGGCTCCCCAAAGTGCTGGAATTACAGGTGTGAGCCACTGCGCCTGACCTGGGTGCCTTCTTTTGAGAAATGTCTGCTCAGATCTTTTGCCCATTTAAATAATTGGATTGTTAGTTTTTTTCTTATAGAGTTGTTTGGGCTCCTTATATATTCTGGTTTTTAATCCCTTGTCAGATATATAGTTTGCAAATATTTTCTTCCATTCTGTGGATTGTCTTTTCACTTTGCCCATTGTTTTCTTTACTATGCAGAAACTTTTGAACTTGATGTGATACCACTTGTTCATTTTAGCTTTGGTTGCCTGAGCTTTTGGAGTATTACTCAAGAAATCTGTGCCAAGACCAATTTCCTGGAGAGTTTCCCTAATGTTTACTTTTAGTAGTTTCGTGTCTTTGATTTAAGTCTTTAACCCATTTGGATTTGATTTTTGTATATAGTGCAAGAGGGGGTTCTAGTTTAATTATTCTTAATTATTCTGCCAATGACTTTGGGAGGCCGAGGTGGGCAGATCATGGGGGCAGGAGATCGAGACCATCCTGGTTAACATGGTGAAACTCCGTCTCTACTAAAAATACAAAAAAAAAAAATTAGCCAGGCATGGTGGCGGGCGCCTGTACTCCCAGCTACTTGGGAGGCTGAGGAGGAGAATGGTGTGAACCCGGGAGGTGGAGCTTGCAGTGAGCCCAGATCGCGCCACTGCACTCCAGCCTGAGCAACAGAGCTAGACTCCATCTCAAAAAAAAAAAAAAAAAAAAAATTCTGCCAATGAATATCTAGTTTTCCCAGCACAATTTGTTGAAGAGACTATCCTCTCCCCCATGTATATTCTTGGCACCTTCATTGAAAATGAGTTAATTGTAAATGTATGGATTTATTTCTGGGTTCTCTATTCTGTTCCATTGGTCTATGTGTCTGTTTTATGCCAGTACCATGGTGTTTTGTTTACAATTGCTCTGTACTATAATTTAAAGTCAGGTGATGTGATTCTTCCAGTATTGTTCTTTTTGCTCAGGATGGCTTTTGGTATTCTGGGTCTTTTATGGTTTCGTATAAATTTTAGGAATTTTTTTCTATTTCTGTGAAGAGTGTTATTAGTATTTCAATAGGGATTGCATTGAATCTGTAGATCGCTTTGTGAAGTATGGGTATTTTAACAATATTTACTCTTCCAATCAATGAACATGGACTATCTTTCCTTTTTTTTTTTTTTTTGGTGTCCTCTTTAATTTTTTTGCATTGATGTTTTATAGTTTTCATTGTAGAGATCTTTCACTTCTTCTGTTATGTTTATTCCCATATATTTTATTTTATTTGTAGTTATTGTAAATGGGATTACATTCTTGATTTTCTTCTTTAGATTGTTCATTTTTGTCATTTAGAAATGCTACTGACTTTTGTAGTTTGATTTTGTATCCTGTGACTCTGAATTTGTTGATCAGTTCTAATAGTTTTTTGGTGGAGTCCTTAGGATTTTCCAAATATAAGATCAAATCATCTGCAAACAAGAAAACAGTAATAATTTTACTTCTTTCTAATTTGGATCCCTTTTATTGTTTTTCTCTTGTCTGAATTGCTCTAGCTAGGACTTCCAGTACTATGTTAAGTAACAGTGTTGGAAGTGGACATTCTTGTCTTGTTCCAGAACTTAGAAGAAAGGCTTTCAGCTTTTCCCTGTTCAGGATGATACTGGCTGTGGGTCTGTTGCATATGGTTTTTATTGTGTTGTGGTATGTTCCTTCTATATCTAGTTTTTTTTTGAGGGTTTCTTTTTATCACAGGGATGTTGAATTTTATTAAATGCTTTTTAGCATCAATTGAAATTATCATATGGTTTTTGTCCTTCATTCTGTTGATATGATGTGTCACATTCATTGATTTGCATATGTTGAACCATGTTGGCATCCTCGGGATAAATCCCACTTAGACATGATGAATGGTCTTTTTCATAGGATGAGTTTGGAAATACTACAGCCTTCTCTGTTTTTTGGAATAGTTTGAGTAGGATTGATAGTAATTCTGCCTTCAATGTTTGGTAAAATTAATCAGTGAAGCCAGTGAAGCCATTGAATCCAGGCTTTTCTTTGCTAGGAGATGTTTTATTTTGGCTTCAATTTCATTTATCCATTTCTTCTAGGTTTTTTTTTTTTTTTTTGAGATGGAGTCTTGCTCTGTCACCCAGGCTACAGCGTGGTACAATCTCAGCTCACTGCAACCTCTGCCTCCCAGGTTCAAGTGATTTTCCTGCCTCAGCCTCTGGAGTAGCTGGGAGAACAAGTGCATGCCATCATGCCTGGCTAATTTTTGTATTTTTAGTAGAGATGGGGTTTCACCATGTTGGCCAGGCTGGTCTTGAACTCCTGACCTCAGGTGATCACCTGCCTTGGCTTCCCGAAGTGTTGGGATTACAGGCATGAGCCACGGTGCCCAGCCATTTCTTCCAGGTTTTTCAATTTATTGGAATATAGTCAGTCATAATAGTTTCTAATGATTCTTTGAATTTCCACAGTATCAGTTATAGTGTCTCCTTTTTAATCTCTGTTTTTATGTATTTGAGTCTTCTCTCTTTTTTCTTAGTCTGGTTAAATGTTTGTTGACTTTGTTGGTCTTTTAAAAATATTAACTTTTCATTTCATTGATATTTTATATTTTTAAATTTCAATTTCATTTATTTCTGCTCCGATCTTTGCTATGTTTCCTTCTACTAATTTTGGTTTTGGTTTGCTCTTGCTTTTCTAATTATTTAAGATGCATTATTAAGGTGTTTATTTGAAGCTTTTCTACTTTTTTTTGATGTAGGTGCTTTTTTCTACAAACTTACCTCTTAGTACTGTAGTACTGTTTTTACTTTATCCCATAGGTTTTTTTTTTTTTTTTTTTTTTGAGATGGAGTCTCGCTCTGTTGCCCAGGCTGGAGTGCAGTGACGCGATCTCGGCTCATTGCAAGCTCCGCCACCCGGGTTCATGCCATTCTCCCCCCTCAGCCTCCCGAGTGTCTGGGACTACAGGCACCCACCTTCACGCCCGGCTAATTTTTGTTTTTTGTATTTTTAGTAGAGACGGGGTTTCACCGTGTTAGCCAAGATGGTCTCAATCTCCTGACCTTGTGATCCGCCTGCCTCAGCCTTCCAGAGTGCTGGGATTACAGGCATGAGCCACTGTGCCCGGCCTGTACCCCATAGGTTTTGGTTTGACTTTAAACTTTTTCTTTTCTCGAAAACTCAGTGTCATGATACCGGCTTCTTGTGCTTTGGGCAGTGAGACCCTTTTACTTGATAACAGTGGTAGCTGGGACAACTTGGCAACGTAAATAAATAAACGGCATCTAGATTGCAAAGGAAGAAGTACAGTTGTCTTTATGTACAGATGACATGATCTTGCATTTAGAAAATCATAAGAAATTTACTAAAAAGTGTTAGGACTCATGAACAAATTTAAGAATGTAACACTATATAAGACTGGTATACAAAAATAACTGTATTTCTTTACCAATAAATCAAGAATCCAAAAATGGAATTACAAAAATAAATCTTGTTACAATAGAATTAAAGCTGGGGAAGCTTAAACTTGCACACTAAAAACTACAATACATGGTTAGCATTGGAAACACCCAGATACCATCCCTGAGCCTTCTCTCCTTGGCTCTGAGGGCTTTACCTTCACGGGGTGAGGAAAGGGGTTGCATTCTTGGCTTTTACATTATATTAGGTGGGTTCGGGTTGAGGTATCTGCAATTCAAATGAGTATTACAATCTCTACTTTTATGCATAAGAGACTGAGGGGAACCAAGAGAGGGAATGACAGTCCATATCCTGGAAGGCGAATTGTCAGGCACTGATTTCCACTATGTAACCCCTGCCAATCACCGTGTATTTAAAGAATCCCCAGATACCATACCAATAGGTGTTCAAGAGAGAGGCCTGTAATCTAGGCGTCTGAGAAAACAAGGCTAGAGATTCCAATATTGGAGACAACAGGGCTCTGGGAAGATTAAGGTTGAGTTTTCTGGATCTGCAGAATAGAGTCACTGAGGACCAATTGCAAGATCAGAGGAGATGAAAGAACAAGTCAGGGCATGCTCAGGAAAAGAGAATACCAGGGATAGGTTTTAGGCAAGAGTCACACTGAGGAAGGGCAGGTTCTTGGCGTCGCTCAGGAAGAAATCCAAAAGCAAGACTGTGGTGGAAGAAAGCAGCTCTACGGAGGCATTGGCGGTGTTACAGCCCTGCGTCCACTTCGGCAGGGCAGAGAGCCCTCCGTGGGTTGTGCTCCCAGAGCAGCAGCCTAGGGGTGGCTTGTAGTCATTTTTATAATTCACTTTTAATGGCATGCTAATTAAGGGGCGGGTTATTCAGAAATAGCTAGAAATGGGCAGCAACTTCCAGCTGTTTCCATGGCAAGGGGTGGGGACTTCCCGTGCTGCCATGTCATTGGCAAGCTGTGATGGCACTGGTGGGAGCGTCTTCTGGTGATCTGAGGAGTGAGGTACTTTTGCTCCCTCTCCCAGTTTCCTGCATGCCTCCTACCTGAAAGCCCTTCACACCCCCATCTGCCCACCTACAAACGTCACTGCCCTTTCACCCCACCCCCGTTTCACACGCACTCCCACATCAACCCTGAGTATTCAAGCCTGCGTTTCCCTGTTAGGAACCTCAGTGGTAGCTGGAGCTCTGAGAAACCCCTAGGCAGAACTCTTTGCCTAGTTTGTAGCAGAAATCAGGGAAGGAAAGGCAAATTTCAGGTCTGTCTCACAATAAATAAATAAAGATAGGTAGATTTGATTGATTGATGGATGGATGAAACGTGGGAGTTTGTGGGCAAATATTTATCAGACACTGGAAGTGTAAGTTGTCACAAAGATTATGGAGTGCACCTGTCTTATGACCCTGTTATTTTATCCTAGTATATGCACTAGAGCATATTTTCTAACTGTGTAAATTGAAGGCTCACAAATTAGTTTAGTGAGAGAAAAGATAACGGATTGGAAGAGAATTACCATGTTCATTAGTTGTGTTTTTAAAATTTTAAAGTAAAATAGAGACATGATTTTTTTCATGCTTTCGAATGCATCTATAAAAATATACTTGAGGGCTGGGAGCAGTGGCTCACGCCTGTAATCCCAGCACTTTGGGAGGTCGAGGAGGGCAGATCGCGAGGTCAGGAGTTGGAGACCAGCCTGACCAACATGGTGAAAACCCGTCTCTACTAAAAATACAAAAATTAGACAAGTGTGGTGGTGCGCGCCTGTAATCCCAGCTACTCAGGAGGCTGAGGCAGGAGAATCGCTTGAACCCGGGAAGCGGAGGTTGCAGTGAGCTGAGATTGCACCATTGCACTCCAGCCTGGGCGACAGTGAGACTCCGTCTCAAAAAAAAAAAGTTACTCATTAATAGCATAGACCAATTGGCCTCTATTGAAATTTCTCCATTTTTTTCACAATGTCCCAGGCTGTGAAACCAGGATTTAATAAAGAACCAGAATGCCACATCTGTGTCACCTGGGTAGGGACCAGTCCTGATCCATTAAGTCCGGGTCTCTGGGTAACTGAACTCAACTGCTGGGCAAAACAGAATGTCCTGCGTGGGTTCCTAATGGGGGACCGCAGAGCCTCATGGGAAATGTAGTGTCACCTTCCAATGATGTTACCATCAAGGACCTTGGGAACCAGCTTTTCTCTCTGCGCTTGCGCTGCCCGGCCCACTCCGCCATTTTCCTCCGGAAGTGCGGCACCCAGAGAGGGTCCTGTAGCTGGGCCGGCTTGGGGCTTTGTTCTATGTCCCTGCGGGTCGGTGCGAGGGCGAAGAGGAACCCGTGGGTCTCGGGGGATCCCGGGGGGCCGGACCAGTGTTCCCTAGTTGTGGGAGCAGATGCGTGGGCGCATCGCGGGCGGGCAGGGCCTGAAGTGCAGGTGCGGGCCGTGGACCCTGGCGGGGGCTAGGATGACAGGCGTGTGGTCCTGTCAGTGAAGCGGGTTCTAGAGGCGCAGGAACGGGTAGGCGAGGCCGGTGGCCCTGGGCCCGGAGTCTGCAGGCCAAGCTCCTGTCCTGCCGCTTAGGGACCCGGTTACCAACCCTCATGTCGCTCAGTTTGCCCATGTGTCCCGGTGCTAACACACAGTTCTCGGGAGATGTTCCCCATTCCCAGAGGAGTAGTGCGAAATGCGTGCTCCTCTAGTCTTAAACTTGGCGTTTGTATTAGTTGGGTTTCCTGGTGTCTCTTTAGCAAGTGAAGTTTCTGGTTCCCTCCTTCACTGTGTGACCTGCCTAGTCCTCCTGGGTCGCATTTACAGAAGTTTATACGAGACCTAGTTTCCAGGGAAGAACTCACTGATTCCGCGAGGGAGATGGTGTAATGGGTGATGGTAGTCAGCCTTAACGGTACTTCAGTCTTAACTGTGTGTTACAAAGTTTGAAAGGGAGGGTTCCCTATGAATAAGAAGTGCACTTGAAAGAACAGCCATCTGGTCTAACCTCTCACTGGTGCTTCAGAGGAGGAAAAAAGGTCACAGGTGAAGAACCCAGTTTTCCTCGCTCAGGAAATATTAATTCTACTCCCTAGAATGCACAAGATTTGCAAAGACTAGGTGATAGCAGAAGGTTTGGACGAACCTTCAGAAGGTTGAGGTGAATTCAGCTGAGAAGAACAGGCAAGGACTTAGGAAATATTCCTTATTTGAAGGGGCCTGAAAGTGTGGTCTGGGGTGCAGGAGTGACCTGTCATACTTGAGAAGATTAAAATACTCTCCAAACACAGTCCCATTCCTTCAACCTTAGCTCGTTTCTTCCAGCGTCTGAGATATATTAAACCTAGTCCATCACCAAATTTAGCATTAGATTGCGAAGTTCTATTGATTGTATTTGATTTGTAATTTAAGATTTTCTCTCGCTACGTAATTTTGTTAAAAACACAAGTGAATTCTGTTCACTTAGGTGTAACAGTTAATACTTGCTGTTTAAGGAACTAATTAAACCTTACTGGCTTATAAAAAACCACCATTTTATTTGTTTGAAGTTCTGTGGATCTGCATTTTGGTGTGGTGGATTCAGCTGGGTAGTTGATATATTTGTGTTGCCTGGATCACAAAAAGGCCTTAGTCACCTGGTGCCTTGACTGAGTCTGGTTGGTTTAAGATAGTTTCCTTCACAATCTGGTGGTTTGTGGTGACTCTTGGCTAGGCCCTGTGTCTCCAACAGGGTAGCTCCAGACCTCTTCACAATTTGACTGTGTCCAAAATGGGAAGAACCAATGTATATTTGCATCACATTTTCCATTGTCCATTCACTGGACAAGTCAGATGGAAAAGCCCAATTTATTGTCAGAGCATAATATGAGGGCTTGGATAGAAGGAAAGGTGTTATTGGGAAACATGAGTAGAATGGTGTACTGTAGGAAATACATATTATGTACATTTTAAAAAACGTAATTGTAGGCCAAAATTGCTGGATTGCAAGATGCACTTTCCATGATGTTCAGGTATAGAAAAGCAAGATGTACTGTCATGGGAACACTCATATGAAGTTATTTGTGGAATCTACATATTAATAGGAAAATAGTTAATACAGCCTAGTATATTTCTATAACATTTATTTTAGTGAACTTATGTTTCTTTGTATTAAATTATTAGATTATATCTTTAGATAATATTGTTACTAAATTAGTAGGTAATACATGTTTTTATTCAAAAATAAATTGTGCATCTAATGTCTACCAATTAATGTACTTGTAGATGTATCATCTTAACTTGAGTCTTTGTTGCCCCTAATGGGGCATGAAGGACTCTTCTCCCATGGGGAAGTTTTTATTTTTCAGGAGGGAGGAGGGCTTTCCCAAGTAATGTGTCTAGAGTGTTGGGCAGAAGAATCTGGGACCACACCACACCAGTTCTCTCCTTAACCCACGTCATTTGCCTTCTATCCCAGCTGTGTTTCCAGTGTCCTCTGGGTGTTTCCAAGAGCAACAGGAAACGAATAAATCTCTGGTGAGTTGTTTATTTGTTCTTCACTTTGTTTTACACTGTATTTTCTGAGTTTATTGGTGTCTGTGAATTAAAAAGGAAAAGTAGAAATAAGTAAAACTCAGGTTGAAGGAAATATACATAAATAAGATAAAGCTGACCTGTAGATATAGGCAGGTTATAAGAGCTTAGAGTTGTCTAAGTTGGGTGCAAAGTTTCCTCTGATCTTTCTGATGCCGAGACAAAAAAGGCAGTCATATTTGTTACGTGATTGGAATGGAATCCGAGAAGAGAGCATGCTGTGTTCTTGTGGGACAGGAAAGCTTCTGTGCACCAAGTCAGAACCACCACCTTCATTGGTGACATAGATTATGTGCTGGAACATATTTCACACCGGCCTGGCAGTAACCACTTGTAGTGTTGTGCAGTGGAAACGGTCATCTTCCGCTAAAGCATGGCGTTTTGTGCAGTGGAAATGGTCATCTGCCACTAAAGCACAGCTTCCATCGTAAGGTATGCTCCTTGCTCAAAGAGTGTGGTCCCAAACAGCTTTTGGGAGGTCCTCCTTGATTCATGGATGAAACCTGGAACATCTTGAGGACTGAGTTAACCATAGGTCCTTAAATAACTCTCCACACCTTTTTCTTAGTTTATCTCTACATGCAGGGTGTGCAGCAGCCTGTTCAAAGTCATATTTTCTGGGAAATATTTCCAGTGTTTATTTGCACTTTAGCCCACTCTGTGTAGTCTTAACTTATTTCTTCTAAACTCACCATTAACCTAAATAATAGTCAAATTTAGGGGGACTGTATTTGCCTTACTCGAGTCTTCTACCATAGTTGAAACTGTCATACCTGAGTGAGTTAGAGAGAAACGCCACACTTTGAGACGAATTCAGGAGTCCTTTATTAGCCGGTGACTGAGAGACGGCCAATGCACAAAATTCTCTCGGCCCCGAAGAAGGGAATAGATTTTCTTTTATACTTTGGTTTAGAGAGGGGAGGGGGGATTCTAGCTGCAGCAACTTTACAGAAGAAAAAAACGACAAAAAAGTTAAAAAGACTGATGGTTACAGGAAAACAAACTGTTCCAGGTGCAGGGGCTTTAAATTCACCACAAAGTGATAGGTGAGGGGGCTCTGGGCATTATCTGCTGGACAAATGTGGGGGCTTTATGATACTATCTCTGAGTAATTTGCTGGGAACTGCCGACATCGCTTGTCTCAGCACTTTATCAGTTAATTGCACTCTTTGATATGTTGAAAATCAGTTTGCACAAGTTAAAGTCCTTGAGGAAAGGGGGTGGGTAAGGAGCCCTTGATGTCTTGTAAATGAAGGAGCCAAATAGAGTTTGTCTGGTTTTCTCAGCTAAGGGAGAGTCTATTCATATTAAAAACAAGGTTAGCTATCTAAGGAAGAGTCTATTCATGTTAATACAACGTTGGGTATTACAAAACGTCTGTTCATGACCTGGAAATTCTTCTGTGTTAGTTCTGTTAAAAGAAAAACTTTAAAGGAGTTTAATTGAGCAATAAACGATTCACGAATCAGACAGTCCCCAGAATCACAGCAGATTCACAGAGACTCCAGCGCAGTCATGTGGTGGAAGAAGATTTATAGACAAAAGGGAAATGGCATACCGAAATCGGAAGTGAGGTACAGAAACAACTCAGCGTTTGCCTTCTTTGAACACATTTTGAACATTTGGCAGTGCCTGAGTGGTTGAAGTTTGGCCATTGGGATTGGCCAAGATGTAGCTGTTGTTCCAGGTGCATACTCTCAAGTTAGTTTTTCATTCTTGTATACCTATTAAGGTAGGTTGCAGTTCATCCACAAGGACTCATATATAGAATTATGGAGTCCTTCTCAGGCCATACTTAGTTCACTTTAACAATGCCTTCCCTTTGGTTATTTTCTCAATTTTGAGAGATTGGCCAAAACTTCAGTCACTGGTGTCACTATTACCATTGCAAATGTACTTACTTGGTTTAGAAACCCACTGGGAAATAGACCAGTGAGATTTGAAAAGGTGGAACAAGGACTTGAGTAGAATATATCTTCTTATGCTGGAACATCCTGTTTACAGGAGAAAAACAAAACCTGGTTTGTTCTAGGATTTATGTGTTTCCTTAAAGTCTTAGTTTGATTATGTTACATTTAGCATGAGTGACTCGATTTTATTTGGTTTGGTCTGTTGGGACCTATTGCATGAGCTTAGTTCAAAACAATGGCCTCCCATAATTTTGCTTAAAAAATTCCTCCTTTTGGCTGGGTGAGGTGGCTTACACCTGTAATCCCAGCACTTTGGGGGGCTGAGGTGGGCAGATCACGAGGTCAGGAGATTGAGACCATCCTTGCTAATAAGGTGAAACCCCGTCTCTGCTAAAAATACAAAAAATTAGCCAAGTGTGGCAGCGGGTGCCTGTAGTCCCAGCTACTCAGGAGGCTGAGGCAGGAGAATTGCCTGAACCCGGGAGGCGGAGCTTGCAGTGAGCCGAGATCGTGCCACTGCACTCCACTCTGGGGGACAGACCAAGACTCTGTCTTAGAAAAAAAAATCCTCTTTTTCAGTCAAGTTCTCACTTAGTTGAGAGTGTGACCAAAATGTAGGGCCTTAACACCACTCTTAGTTACCATTGTTTTGGGTTCCGATTTTAGCACATCATTCCCATTGTTTTGGGTTTCTGGTTTAGCACGTCACTCCCATTGTTTTGGGTTCCGGTTTTAGCACGTCATTCCCATTGTTTTGGGTTTCTGGTTTAGCACCTCACTCTCATTGTTTTGGGTTCCTGTTTTAGCACGTCACTCCCATTGTTTTGGGTTCTGGTTTAGCACTTCACTCTCATTGTTTTGGGTTCTGGTTTTAGCACGTCACTCCCATTGTTTTGTGTATCTGGTTTTAGCACCTCACTCCCATTGTTTTGGGTTTCCAGGTTTTAGCACGTCACTCCCATTGTTTTGGGTTTCTGGTTTATCACGTCACTCCCATCGTTTTGGTTTTCTGGTGTAGCAGGATGCTCCCATTGTTTTGGGTTTCTGGTTTTAGCACGTCACTCCCATTGTTTTGGGTTTCTGGTTTAGCAGGACGCTCCCATTGTTTTGGGTTTCTGGTTTTAGCATGTCACTCCCATTGTTTTGGGTTTCTGGTTTTACACGTCACTCCCATTGTTTTGGGTTTCTGGTTCAGCAGGTCACTCCCATTGTTTTCGGTTTCTGGTTTAGCAGGACGCTCCCATTGTTTTGGGTTTCTGGTTTAGCAGGTCACTCCCATTGTTTTGGGTTTCTGGTTTAGCAGGTCATTCCCATTGTTTTGGGTTCCGGTTTAAGCACATCACTCCCATTGTTTTGGTTTCTGGGTTACATGTCACTCCCATTGTTTTGGGTTTCTGGTTTAGCAGGTCACTCCCATTGTTTTGGGTTCCGGTTTAAGCACATCACTCCCATTGTTTTCGTTTCTGGTTTTAGCACATCACTCCCATTGTTTTGGGTTTCTGGTTTAGCACGTCACTCCCATTGTTTTGGGTTCTGGTTTAGCACGTCACTCTCATTGTTTTGGGTTCTGGTTTTAGCACGTCACTCCCATTGTTTTGGGTGTCTGGTTTTATCACGTCACTCCCATCGTTTTGGGTTTCTGGTGTAGCAGGACGCTCCCATTGTTTTGGGTTTCTGGTTTTAGCATGTCACTCCCTTTGTTTTGGGTTTCTGGTTTTACACATCACTCCCATTGTTTTGGGTTTCTGGTTCAGCAGGTCACTCCCATTGTTTTCGGTTTCTGGTTTAGCAGGATGCTCCCATTGTTTTGGGTTTCTGGTTTAACAGGTCACTCCCATTGTTTTGGGTTTCTGGTTTAGCAGGTCATTCCCATTGTTTTGGGTTCCGGTTTAAGCACATCACTCCCATTGTTTTGGTTTCTGGTTTTACATGTCACTCCCATTGTTTTGGGTTTCTGGTTTAGCAGGTCACTCCCATTGTTTTCGTTTCTGGTTTTAGCACATCACTCCCATTGTTTTGGGTTCCAGTTTTAGCAAGTCACTCCCATTGTTTTGGGTTTCTGGTTTTGCAGGTCACTCCCATTGTTTTGGGTTCTGGTTTTAGTGCACGTCACTCGCACTGTTTTGGGTTCCAGTTTAGTACATCACTCCCATTGTTTTGGGTTTCTGGTTTAGCATGTCACTCTCATTGTTTTGGGTTTCCGGTTTAGTATATCACTCATAGGATATGGTGTCCTTATGGTTGCACTTTTTTTTTAATCACTTGTCATTCCAGTTGAAGAGATACCATTTGATATTTTAGAGATGCCTGCATGCAAACTCTTAAAACATTTGAGTAAGTACAGTGCACCAGGGAGACTCTTATGACTATTGGGATAACACCAAGAATTTGGTATATGCTCCTAACTCAGGGTCCCCATAAATCAAACCACCTAAAATCAAATAGATTAAAGAATGAATTAAAGAGTTTACTTGCTTAACTAAGTGGGTTTTTTGTTAATTCCCTACAACCGAATCTTTATAATACCCCATGTTTTCTCCACATGCTGTAAGTGTTAGCAGCTGCACAGATACTTAAGATAAGTGTCTCATGATAGTAGAGAAGTCTTGATCTGTGATCTTGGGAAAAGCTGTTCACATTAGGGATACCATCTTCTTCTGGGGGGAACTGTCCTTGTTAGCTTTACCTTAAGGGTTCCAATGGGTATATGGTTCCAAGTGTGGAAGGACCCTTCTGAGTTGTGAGACTATGAACCCAAAGTTTAAGGTTTTAAAGTTTTGCTGTCATGTGGATGGCAAGGGCAGTCCTTCTCTGATGTTCTCAGAAGATCCAGTCATCAGATTCTAGATTTTGAAGGGGTTGACTGTCCTCAGTGAGCCATAAAAGGCTTTCTTTACCTGGTGAAAATACACTTCAGGGTAATAATCTACTGTTTCAACATCAACTGTCTCGCATGGAAGAGCTTTTATACAATCAGAAAACATGCACTGAAAATGACAACTGAATGAAATCCCTTTATAAAATGTTTAAATGGCCCATCACATAACCAAATGTACCTGAAGTTTTGATTGTTTTCCTAGGAATATAGGTATGACAAACCAAACATTGGTTATAAACTATTTTAGCAGTTTAGAAATCACCACACCAATATATTTAATTTGGATCATTTTCTCTTTCCATGATGAGTTATGGAATGCAGAACTTTTAATAACAAAAGTTTTAAGGACTTAAGAAGGATAAGGTGGCCATCCTGGTTCTTCATAAGTCTGTGCTTAATTAACATTAGACTTACATCCTCTTGAATACCAGCTGTTTCTCCAAATTAGGTGTATGGTACTGGTAACTGATGAGTAGTTATAGGTGATTTGACTTAGACCATGGAGTTTATTTAAATTATATATCTAAACAATTTCAATATTGGTGATTTAGCATGCAAATGTGGCAAAATATTTCCTTGGTATACAATTTTTGTTTTACTTAGGTTAGCAGTTTTATAAACCAGTTGGTCTTTTTATTAAACTTTTGGGATTTTTTTTTTTTTTTTGAGACAGAGTCTCACTCTGTTACCTAGGTTGGAGTGCAGTGGCACAATCTTGGCTCACTGCAACCTCCACCTCCTGGGTTCAAGCAATTCTCTTGCCTCAGCCTCCAGAGTAGCTGGGATTACAGGCACATACCACTACACCCAGCTAATTTTTATATTATTAGTAGAGGTGGGGTTTCACCATTGGCCAGGCTGGTCTCAAACTCCTGACCTCAAGTGACCCACCGGCCTTGGCCTCCCAAAGTGCTGGGATTGCCAGCGTGAGCCGCTGCACCCAGCCTAACTTTTGAGAATTCTTAGCCAGTCCAATTCTTGGGGGATCGGGGAACTTATGGGGAATTTTTACCCATGATATTAAAGTTATTAGAAACCTGTGTTCACAAGTGTTTCTCAGGGTCCTTTTCTTTCTTTCATGGATCTTCTAAGAGACACCATATTCTAAAATTTTACATGCTTGTGAAGTTTTTAGAAACTGCATCACCATTAAGCAATTAACTGTGGAAATGACTTTAAATAGTTATAGTTAAAGACAATTGACAAGGAAATTTGGTTATTTCTGTGGTCTACAATAACTTAATAACCATAATTAGGGTGGATGTAGTGGCTCATGCCTGTAATCCCAGCACTGTGGGAGGCCGAGGTGGAAGGATCACAAGGTCAGGAGATCGAGACCATCCTGGCTAACATGGTGAAATCCATCTTTACTAAAAATACAAAAATTAGCCTGGCATGGTGGTGGGTGCCTGTAGTCCCAGCTACTCAGGAGGCTGAGGCAGGAGAATGGCATGAACCCGGGAGGTGGAGGTTGCAGTGAGCCGAGATTGCACCACTGTACTCCAGCCTGGGTGACAGAGCAAGATTCCATCTCAGAAAAAAAAAAAAATACAAGAATTTTAGAAATCCTATACAATTTTAGAATGGATTGATGACATACACTGAATATAACCTAAAGAAGGTTCAACATTATTTTTTATTTTGACAGTTCTAGCCATGTGACTTAACATGTTAAATAGTCCTGTTTACTTCTCTTTTGGGTACTTCAGGGGCCTCTGTAGTATCCCAAAGTTAGAGGTCAGAAAAAAAATTTTGAAGTTGAAATTTGATTTTGGGAAGCCTATTAAATATATTAAAGGTTTAAACACTTGATGTTATGAAATAGAATTCCATGTCAACGTAAGTCATTCATTTACCTAAAATCATGACTTAAAAAATTTTTAAAGGGCAAAAATCTTTACTCATTGATAGGGGGAAGACTTATTTCCACAAATAATCTGCCTCTTGTTTTTCCTTTTTTTTTTGGTAGTTTATTTACAAGGCAAACAAATTTTTCATTTTATTATTTTATTTTTATTATTATTATTATTATTATTATACTTCAAGTTTTAGGGTTTATGTGCACAATGTGCCGGTTAGTTACATATGTATACATATGCCAGTCTGGTGTGCTGCACCCATTAACTCGTCATTTAGCATTAGGAATATCTCCTAATGCTATCCCTCCCTTCTCCCCCCACCTGACAACAGTCCCCAGAGTGTGATGTTCCCATTCCTGTGTCCATGTGTTCTCATTGTTCAATTCCCATCTATGAATGAGAACACGCAGTGTTTGGTTTTTTGTCCTTGTGATAGTTTACTGAGAATGATGATTTCCAATTTCATCCATATCCCTACAAAGGACATGAACTTATCATTTTTTATGGCTGCATAGTATTCCATGGTGTATATGTGCCACAATTTCTCAATCCAGTCTATCGTTGTTGGACATTTGGGTTGGTTCCAAGTCTTTGCTATTGTGAATAGTGCCACAATAAACATACGTGTGCATGTGTCTTTATAGCAGCATGATTTATAGTCCTTTGGTTATATACCCACTAATGGGATGGCTGGGTCAAATGGTATTTCTAGTTCCAGATACTTGAGGAATCGCCACACTGACTTCCACAATCGTTGAACTAGTTTACAGTCCCACCAACAGTGTAAAATAGTTTCTATTTCTCCACATCCTCTCCAGCACCTGTTGTTTCCTGACTTTTTAATGATTGCCATTCTAACTGGTGTGAGATGGTATCTCATTGTGGTTTTGATTTGCATTTCTCTGATGGCCAGTGATGATGAGTATTTTTTCATGTGTCTTTTGGCTGCATAAAGATCTTCTATTGAGAAGTGTCTGTTCATATCCTTCACCCACTTTTTGATGGGGTTGTTTGTTTTTTTCTTGTAAATTTGTTTAAGTTCGTTGTAGATTCTGGATATTAGCCCTTTGTCAGATGAGTAGGTTGCAAAAATTTTCTCCCATTTTGTAGGTTGCCTGTTCACTCTGATGGCAGTTTCTTTTGCTGTGCAGAAGCTCTTTAGTTTAATTAGATCCCATTTGTCAATTTTGGCTTTTGTTGCCATTGCTTCTGGTGTTTTAGACATGAAGTCCTTGCCCATGCCTATGTCCTGAATGGTAATGCCTAGTTTTACTTCTAGGGTTTTTATGGTTTCAGGTCTAACATTTAAGTCTTTAATCCATCTTGAATGAATTTTTGTATAAGGTGTAAGGAAGGGATCCAGTTTCAGCTTTCTACATATGGCTAGCCAGTTTTCCCAGCACCATTTATTAAATAGGGAATACACTCCTTGTTTTTGTCAGGTTTGTCAAAGATCAGATAGTTGTAGATACGCAGCATTATTTCTGAGGGCTCTGTGCTGTTCCATTGGTCTGTATCTCTGTTTTGGTACCAGTACCATGCTGTTTTGGTTACTGTAGCCTTGTAGTATAGTTTGAAGTCAGGTAGGGTGATGCCTCCAGCTTTGTTCTTTCAGCTTAGGATTGACTTGGTGATGCAGGCTCTTTTTTGGTTCCATATGAACTTTAAAGTAGTTTTTTCCAATTCTGTGAAGAAAGTCATTGGTAGCTTGATGGGGACGGCATTGAATCTATAAATTACCTTGGGCAGTATGGCCATTTTCATAATATTGATTCTTCCTATCCATGAGCATGGAATGTTCTTCCATTTGTTTGTATCCTCTTTTATTTCATTGAGCAGTGGTTTGTAGTTCTCCTTGAAGAGGTCCTTGACGTCCCTTGTAAATTGGATTCCTAAGTATTTTATTCTCTTTGAAGCAATTGCGAATGGGAGTTCACTCATGATTTGGCTCTGTGTTTGTCTGTTTTTGGTGTATAAGAATGCTTGTGATTATTGTACATTGATTTTGTATCCTGAGACTTTGCTGAGGTTACTTATCAGCTTAAGGAGATTTTGGGCTGAGACAATCGGGTTTTCTAGATATACAATCATGTCATCTGCAAAGAGGGACAATTTGACTTCCTGTTTTCCTAATTGAATACCCTTTATTTCCTTCTCCTGCCTAATTGCCCTGGCCAGAACTTCTAACACTATGTTGAATAGGAGTGGTGAGAGAGGGCATCCCTGTCTTGTGCCCGTTTTCAAAGGGAATGCTTCTAGTTTTTGCCCATTCAGTATGATATTGGCTGTGGGTTTGTCATAGATAGCCCTCATTATTTTGAGATACGTCCCATCAATACCTAATTTATTGAGAGTTTTTAGCATGAAGCGTTGTTGAATTTTGTCAAAGGCCTTTTCTGCATCTATTGAGATAATCATGTGGTTTTTGTCTTTGGTCCTGTTTATATGCTGGATTACATTTATTGATTTGTGTATATTGAATCAGCCTTGCATCCCAGGGATGAAACCCACTTAATCATGGTGGATAAGCTTTTTTATATGCTGCTGGATTTGGTTTGCCAGTATTTTATTGAGGATTTTTGCATCAATATTCGTTAAGGATATTGGTCTAAAATTCTCTTTTTTGTTGTGTCTCTTCCCGGCTTTGGTATCAGGATGATGTTGGCCTCATAAAATGAGTTAGGGAGGACTCCTTCTTTTTCTATTGATTGGAATAGTTTCAGAAGGAATGGTACCAGTTCCTCCTTGTACCTCTGGTAGAATTTGGCTGTGAATCCATCTGGTCCAGGACTCTTTTTGGTTGGTAAGCTATTGATTATTGCCACAATTTCAGATCCTGTTATTGGTCTATTCAGAGATTCAACTTCTCCCTGGTTTAGTCTTGGGAGAGTGTATGTGTGGCGGAATTTATCCATTTCTTCTAGATTTTCTAGTTTATTTGCATAGAGGTGTTTGTAGTATTCTCTGATGGTAGTTTGTATTTCTGAGGGATCAGTGGTGATATCCCCTTTATCATTTTTTATTGTGTCTACTTGATTCTTCTCTCTTTTTTACTTTATTAGTCCTGCGAACAGTGTATCAATTTTGTTGATCCTTTCAAAACACCAGCTCCTGGATTCATTAATTTTTTGAAGCGTTTTTTTGTTGCTATTTCCTTCAGTTCTGCTCTGATTTTAGTTATTTCTTGCCTTCTGTTAGCTTTTGAATGTGTTTGCTCTTGCTTTTCTAGTTCTTTTAATTGTGATGTTAGGGTGTCAATTTTGGATCTTTCCTGCTTTCCCTTGTGGGCATTTAGTGCTATAAATTTCCCTCTACACACTACTTTGAATGCGTCCCAGGGATTGTGGTATGTTGTGTCTTTGTTCTCATTGGTTTCAAAGAACATCTTTATTTCTGCCTTCATTTTGTTATGTACCCAGTAGTCATTCAGGAGCAGGTTGTTCAGTTTCCATGTAGTTGAGCAGTTTTGAGTGAGTTTCTTAATGCCGAGTTCTAGTTTGATTGCACTGTGGTCTGAGAGACAGTTTGTTATAATTTCTCTTCTTTTACATTTGCTGGAGAGGGCTTTACTTCCAAGTATGTGGTCAATTTTGGAATAGGTGTGGTGTGGTGCTGAAAAAAAGGTATATTCTGTTGATTTGGGGTGGAGAGTTCTGTAGATGTCTATTAGGTCCCCTTGGTGCAGAGCTGAGTTGAACTCCTTGGTATCCTTGTGAACTTTCTGTCTAATTGATCTGTCTAATGTTGACAGTGGAGTGTTAAAGTCTCCCATTATTATTGTGTGGGAGTCTAAGTTTCTTTGTAGGTCTCTAAGGACTTGCTTTATGAATCTGGGTGCTCCTGTATTGGGTGCATATATATTTAGGATAGATAGCTCTTCTTGTTGAATTGATCCCTTTACCATTATGTAATGGTCTTCTTTGTCTCTTTTGATCTTTGTTGGTTTACAGTCTGTTTTATCAGAGTCTAGGATTGCAACCCCTGCTTTTTTTTGTTTTCCATTTGCTTGGTAGATCTTCCTCCATCCTTTTATTTTGAGCCTATGTGTGTCTCTGCACGTGAGATGGGTTTCCTGAATACAGCACACTGATGGGTCTTGACTCTTTATCCAATTAGCCAGTCTGTGTCTTTTAATTGGAGCATTTAATCCATTTACATTTAAAGTTAATATTGTTATGTGTGAATTTGATCCTGTCATTATGATGTTAGCTGGTTATTTTGCTCGTTAATTGACCCAGTTTCTTCCTAGTCTTGATGGTCTTTACAATTTGGCATGTTTTTGCAGTGGCTGGTACCGACTGTGCCTTTCCATGTTTAGTGCTTCCTTCAGGAGCACTTTTAGGGCAGGCCTGGTGGTGACAAAATCTCTCAGCATTTGCTTGTCTGTAAAGTATTTTATTTTTCCTTCACTTATGAAGCTTAGTTTGGCTGGATATGAATTTCTGGGTTGAAAATTCTTTTCTGTAAGAATGTTGAATATTGGCACCCACTCTCTTCTGGCTTGTAGAGTTTCTGCCGAGAGATCAGCAGTTAGTCTGATGGGCTTCCCTTTGTGGGTAACCTGACCTTTCTCTCTGGCTGCCCTTAACATTTTTTCCTTCATTTCAACTTTGGTGAATCTGACAATTATGTGTCTTGGAGTTGCTGTTCTCGAGGAGTATCTTTGTGGCATTCTCTGTATTTCCTGAATCTGAATGTTGGCCTGCTTTGCTGGATTGGGGAAGTTCTCCTGGATAATATCCTGCAGAGTGTTTTCCAACTTGGTTCCATTCTTCCCGTCACTTTCAGGTACACCAATCAGACACAGATTTGGTCTTTTCACATAGTCCCATATTTCTTGGAGGCTTTGTTCATTTCTTTTTATTCTTTTTTCTCTAAACTTCTCTTCATGCTTCTTTTCATTCATTTCATCTTTCATCACTGATATGCTTTCTTCCAGTTGATCTCATCATCTCCTGAGGCTTCTGCATTCTTCACATAGTTCTCGAGCCTTGGCTTTCAGCTCCATCAGCTCCTTTAAGCACTTCTCTATATTGGTTATTCTAGTTATACATTCTTCTAAAGTTTTTCAAAGTTTTCAACTTCTTTGCCTTTGGTTTGTATTTCCTCCTGTAGCTCGGAGTAGTTTGATCATCTGAAGCCTTCTTCTCTCAACTCGTCAGAGTCATTCTCTGTCCAGCTTTGTTCCATTGCTGGTGAGGAACTGCATTCCTTTGGAGGAGGAGAGGTGCTCTGCTTTTTAGAGTTTCCAGTTTTTCTGCTCTGTTTTTTCCCCATCTTTGTGGTTTTATCTACTTTTGGTCTTTGATGATGGTGATGTACAGATGGGTTTTTGGTGTGGATGTCCTTTCTGTTTGTTAGTTTTCCTTCTAACAGACAGGACCCTCAGCTTCAGGTATGTTGGAGTTTGCTAGAGGCCCATTCCAGACCCTATTTGCCTGGGTATCAGCAGTGGTGTCTGCAAAACCGTGGATTTTCGTGATCCGTGAATGTTGCTGTCTGATCATTCCTCTGGAAGTTTTGTCTCAGAGGAGTACCCGGTCGTGTGAGGTGTCAGTCTGCCCCTACTGGGGGGTGCCTCCCAGTTAGGCTGCTTGGGGGTCAGGGATCAGGGACCCACTTGAGGAGGCAGTCTGCACATTCTCAGATCTCCAGCTGTGTGCTGGGAGAAACACTGCTCTCCTCAAAGCTGTCAGACAGGGACATTTAAGTCTGCGAGGTTACTGCTGCCTTTTTGTTTGTCTGTGCCCTGCCCCCAGAGGTGGAGCCTGCAGAGGCAGGAAGGCCTCCTTGAGCTGTGGTGGGCTCCACCCAGTTCGAGCTTCCCGGCTGCTTTGTTTACCTAAGAGAGCCTGGGCAATAGCCGGTGCCCCTCCCCCAGCCTCGCTGCCGCCTTGCAGTTTGATCTCAGACTGCTGTGTTAGCAATCAGCGAGACTCCATGGGCATAGGACCCTCTGAGCCAGGTGCCGGATATAATCTCCTGGTGTGCCGTTTCCTAAGCCCGTCAGAAAAGCGCAGTGTTAGGGTGGGAGTGGCCTGATTTTCCAGGTGCCGTCTGTCACCCCTTTCCTTGACCAGGAAAGGGAACTAACTCCCTGACCCCTTGCACTTCCCAAGTGAGGCAATGCCTCGCCCTGCTTCAGCTAGTGCACAGTGCACTTCACCCACTGTCCTGCGCCCACTGTCTGGCACTCCCTAGTGAGATGAACCCAGTACCTCAAATGGAAATGCAGAAATCACCCGTCTTCTGCATCGCTCATGCTGGGAGCTGTAGACTCGAGCTGTTCCTATTCGGCCAGCTTGGCTCCTTCTCCCATTATTTTTTAATATTTTCTGAAAATCTTCTTTAAAGAGAGAAAGCCAAATGTCACCCACTTTTTCATAAAACCTTATAGGCAAATCTATTATTATTTTCTTTTCTTGAGGTGGATTTTCCCTCTTGTTGCCCAGGCTGGAGTGCAATGGCGCGATCTCGGTTTACTGCAACCCCCTGCCTCCCAGATTCAAGCAATTCTCCTGCCCCAGCCTCCTGAGTAGCTGGGATTAGAGGCGTGCCCCACCATGCCCAGCTAATTTTGTGTTTTTAGTAGAGACGGGGTTTTTCCTTGTTGTTCAGGCTGGCCCTGAACTCCTGACCTCAGGTGATCCACCTGCCTCAGCCTCCCCAAGTGTTGGGATTACAGGCGTGAGCCACTGCCTCTGGCCATTTTTTTTTTAAAGATAACATCTTTCTCTGTCACCCTCCTCACATTATAGCTCTGGGGCCAAGCTGCATCACAATGGAAATCATGGAGCCACAGGAAGAATCCACTCAGCTTTGCAAGATGTTGCCCAAGGGGTTGCTTGGAGTAACCAAATTAACATTTTTCATTCTGCTCAGAGCAAAATACATGTGACAAAACATAGACACGAGCCACTTTGCTTAGCACCCAGTGTCAAACTGGTAAGACTCAAACTTGCTCCCAGATAGGCCGTGCCATCTCTAAATCTTTTTAGAAGCTTCTGCATATTAATAGGCATCCCTAGATGAGACTAATTTGGGAGCCCTCATTTTTAAATGCACTTCAGGGCATTATTCATTTGGAATATTCCACTGTAAGTTAACTTTAGTAAGATTTTGCCATTTCTGTAAGACTTTGCTGCCTCCCAGGCCTAATGAATTAGCCAGAAGGAACTAAGTTTTCCAGAAATTAAGGATCCTATTTTTACCTAATATATTGGCTTTACTCCCAGGTTCCCTTGATTGACTTAGCCAATGATTTTTTTTCCTACCTAAGCGTGTGAGGAAAATGAAACAAAGGGGTAGAACACAAAAATCCCTGTGAATTTTCAAAAGCCAAATTTTACAGCCCTACAATATTATCATTTACTACCACTTTCCTTCTGACCCATTCAGATGTAGGAGGTCTCTAACTGGAACTGGATTCAAGCCAGTTAACTACTGGATCAAATCTGATCCTGGACCCGGTCCCGTTTCTGTCATAACTTCTAAAACATCCAGCCAGTCATGGCTGGATAGCAGTTTGGAACAGAAATTTGCTCAAAGAAACTCAGAGCTCAAAACACAAATCCATGGAGCTCTGAAATCCGAGAAAGAATTTATCATGATCCCCAGCAGCTCTGAGAGATCAAAGGGCACAAGTGTTACAGAATCCTGAGACATCACTTTTCTGCCTGAAGCCTCTGGCTGGTGGTGCCTTTACCTGTGTTTTGCTCGGGCCCACTGGGTTCGTTCTGTCCACTCGGGTCATGCTAGTGGTTTGGATCCCACACTTGCCAAGGGTGATCTGGGTACAGAGCAGTGAAGGGTGTGTGAGCAAGCAAGCATGGGATCTGGCCACTGCACACAGTCAAGCATGCCAGCTGCAGTGGGGTGGGCAGCTCCAGGCACCGGCACAGGTGCCAGATCCCTGTGAGGCTGCAGCTGGACCAGGCCGACTGCAAACAGCTTCCACTGTGGGTATCAGGGAATGCAGTGGCGCCCAGAAACTTGGAGATGCAGGAACTGCAGAACCCCAAAGAAGGCATCATAGCCCTGGCTTGGGGAGCTCCTAGGTCTGGGCTCCCTGAAGGGCCACAGCTCTTGTCTCCTTCTCTCTTCTCTTCTTCTTGCCTGCAATTTGGCAAGCAAGGGGTGCGTTTCAGCCCTGTTTATGTTACACCTCTTTCAGCCCTGCTAGTTGGCAGGTCCCGAGTTCTTGTCCTGAGTCCAGGAAGAATGAGGTATGTGGGCAAGTAGAAGGTGAGCAAGGTGAAGAGGTGCTTTATTGAGCAACAGTTCAGCTCAGAGGAGACCTGCAGTCGGTAGCTCCTTTCTGCAGGCAAGTCATCCCAACGTCTGTTCAGCTCTCAGCAGCTGAGAGAGATGCACTGTGGTTAGCTGTGCCCACATTGCCGAGGCTGTTCGAGCTGAGGAGTGCCTTCAGGCCAGTGCTGAGCCACTCTTAGCCCCACCTCAACCTCCCTCTTGTGCTCGTCAGTGCCCAAAGTCTGGAGGGGGCTGAGGTGGCAGGGGGCTGGCATGTCAGCACTGCCTTGAGCTTGCACATACCAGGCCGGGTTCCGACTGTGCCTGGGTTCAGCCTCAACTTGGATCTGAGGTTGGAGTGGGCTCTGGGAGTGGAGAGACGCCAGGTGGTGGGACCAGGTACAACTGAGCCTGCGGGGGCAGGGGGGCTTGCTGGGCCTCTGAGAGTGCAAAGATGCCCGGGTTTGCAGTCATGGCTGGATGGCTGCAGCTGTGCCTGGGAGGGCGGGGCTCCTGCCTGCCAATTTAGAAGGGGTGGGGCTCCCACCCTTTCCTGACTCCCACCAGCTTCGAGGAGCGCACAGCCCCAGCCACTCCTCCTCACTGCAGCCAGTGTCTCCGTAGCAACTGCTCCACATGGGCCACTGCTGCCATCACAGAGCAGTCCTTGCAGGTGCCTTTCTTGTACTTCAGCACTCCTGGGGGTCATTAGAAGCCCTAGGAACACTGCTCACCACATTATAGCTCCGGAGGCCCTAGCAGTCCTGCTCCCACAGATCCCACTTCTGACACCATCTGTTAAAAGAAAATCTTCAGCTGAATTAAATTTAAAGGAACTTAATTGAGAAATGAATGATTCACAAATCAGGCAGCCCCCAGAATCACAGAAGATTTGGTGAGACTCCAGCACAGCTACAGGGTGGAAGATTTATAGACAATAAAGGGAACGTGATGTACAGAAATCTGAGTGAGGAGTGAGGTCCGGAAGCAACTGGGTCCCTTACCATTCTCAGCAATGTGGTCCAGAAACAACTGGACTGGTTACAGTGCTCAGCATTTGCCTTATTTGAACACAGCTGAACACTCAGCAGTGTGTGAGTGGCAGAAGTTTGGCTGTTGGGATTGGCCAGGACTCAGCTATAGTTACAGGTGCATACTCCTAAGTTAGGTTTTCAGTCTTTCTACCTATTAAGTTAGGTTGCAGTTTGTCCACAGGGACTCAAGTCTAGAAGTACAGAGTCCTTCCCAGGCCATATTTAGTTCACTGTAACAGTTCCTATTATGACCTCACTGACAGTTCTTTTTCTCTGAATTCTCCTTTCTTCTCAACAGCTTATCCAAATGTTCCACTGGTCCCTGTTCATCCCGCCGTGCAGTTCTCCTTGACTGATTCAGCCCTTTGTGGTTTGCAGTCCTGTTTCTCTACAGCTTGGACCTCTTCAGTCTTTCCATCATAGGTTTAACTCTCTGTTGAATGCTTCTTTGTAGCTACGCAAAAGTTACCTTAAGCTCAAAAAATTCAAAGTGAAAGCCACATCCTCCTCTCTTCCTTTATGTGTATGGTATTACTACAATGCAGCCAGTGACCCAAAATGGGATTTCTTCTGGGCTTTTCTTGCTTAGATTCAGGCTCATCTGGTGTCAAGCCTTGTTAGTTTTGTTTTCTTGTTCTTTTATTTTTATTTTTTTTTTCTTTTGAGACAGAGTTTCACTCTTGTTGCCCAGGCTAGAGCGCAGTGGTGTGATCTCGGCTCACTGCAGCCTCCACCTCCCGGGTTCAAGCAATTCTCCTGCCTCAGCTCCTGAGTAGCTGCTATTACAGGCATTTGCCACCATGCCTGGCTAATTTTGTATTTTCAGTAGAGATGGGGTTTCTCTGTTTTGATCAGGGTGGTCTCGAACTCCCGACCTCAGGTGATCCACCTGCCTCATCCTCCCAAAGTGCTGGGATTACAGGCGTGAGCCACCGTGCCTGGCCTGCTTGTTGTTTTCATCTCATCCTGATTTCTGAATACAGGAGAGGAGCTGAGTTGGTGTTCACTAACAAGCACGGAAGCTTTGTTACATTTACAGTGTCATTCTTGGATGCGGCAGCGGTTCTTCTGTTGGGGACCAGTGAGTAGGCACTGGGGAGGGCTCACCTGTGCTTCCTCAGTGGCTCCACCTCTGCTTCTAAAAAGAATTACTCATTGCAGGGCTGGGGCAGAGAAAATACAAGATGAGCTTAGAACATCTTCTGCCAGAAAGTAAAAAAGTGCCGACAGAGTAATGGAGACAAATCAAAGAGACATAAAGTCAGCTTGGAATGTCTACTACTGGCCTAATCTTGGGGAATTGGAGCATCAGAATCATGAGCTTTCCTTCTCCCTTATTTATTGGTTTTATTTCTCCATGTAGAACAAAGAAGAGAATAAGAAAATAATCATCTGGCAACCATCATAGTAATAATTGTTCAAACACAAGTCATCCATGAAATGCTAAATCTAGTGGGTTCTGAGGAGTAACCAGATATTTACAGAGCCTCAAAGTATCTCTATACAAAATACGGTGAGATGGTGCAAATAAACTTTTTTTAATTTTTTTTATTTTCAAGATGGAGTCTTGCCCTGTCACCCAGGTTGGAGTGCAGTGGTGCAATCTCAGCTCCTGCAACCTCCGTCTCCCAGGTTCAAGCAATTCTCTTCCTCAGCCTTCCTAGTAGCTGGGATTTCAGGTGCCCACCACCGCACCAGGGTAATATTTTTTTTTTTTTGTACTTTTAGTAGAGATGGGGTTTCACCATCTTGGCCAGGCTGGTCTTGAACTCCTGACCTCGTGATACATCTGCCTCGGCCTCCCAAAGAGCTGGGATTACAGGCATGAGCCACTGCACCTGGCTGGTGCAAAGAAACTTTAAAAGTGACATGGGCCGGGTGCGGTGGCTCATGCCTGTAATCCCAGCACTTTGAGAGGCTCAGGCAGGCAGATCACAAGGTCAGGAGTTCAAGAAGAGCCTGGCCAATATGGTGAAACCCTGTCTCTACTAAAAATGCAAACATTAGCTGGGTGTAATGGTGGGTGCTTGTAGTCTCAGCTACTCAGGAGGCTGAGGCAGGAGAATCACTTGAACCCGGGAGGTGGAGCTTGCAGTGAGTGGAGATAGATGGCACCAAGACACTCCAGCCTGGGTGACAGAGTGAGATACTGCCTCAAAAAAAAGAAAAAAAAAATGTGGTATGAACCACAGCTAAACTATAATCAATTAGAGAGTAAGCCAAAGCATCTCAAAGTATATCATCAGTTATCAGGCAATAACATGCAATTTCTAAAACCTAACTTAAATGCAGCTTTTAAAGACATTTCAAACGTCTCAGTTTAGTCACATTTATTGAATAAAGTTAGCAAATGGATATCTCTTGAAAATGAGAGCTCCAGGGAATTAAAAAATGTAAAGTTCCCATTTCCTTTCTGTGTTAACACAGCTAATTATGATCTTTACTTCACATGCAAAAGTCAACAGAACAACTCAGTATTTCACCAAATTATAAACAAGAATTACGCTAGAGAAATGAAACCCTAAAGAGAAACGGTCATATAACTAACCTCAGTCAAGTAGTTCTGGCAATTATTTGAAGTCTGAGGCTTGAAGTAGGAATTCTTACGGGCATTTGGGGAATATATTTTCATTGAGTCCTATACTAGTAAGATTTTCAACACAAGGTGACTCTCGACCTCGCCTTGCAGGAAGAGTGCTGAGAAAATATTTCACCTGCTCTTTCTCCATAAAGAGCTGATACTGATCATTGCTATTTTCTTATTCGATCTGTAAAGATAGCAAAGACAAATGCTTAGTATTTCATTTTTCCTTAAATGATTCTTAATGACTTGCAGTTTTTAAAAACTTACCCTGAGAGTAAACCAAATTACCCACTAAATAGTGTTTTCACACAGAAGATGTGTAAGAGCATACCTGTTGTAAGGAATTATAATTTTAAAATCATTCTAAAGAAGCACCATTGTTTCTAAGGTGATTTCTACTGAACAAGCAGTTCAAACAAAGTAGACAGGGAAGAGAAATGGCTATCAGTGATGTATGGCTCAACAGGTAAAACTTCCTGCCTTCTAAAATGGCTCTACTTGTAAGATTCTGAAGATTCCATTAGAAATACTTGTATTTAAAGGGTAATAATGTGGGAAAATGAATATGTTGATTTGCTTGATTATAAGAACCACTTCACTAGAAATAATTATATCAAAACATAATGTTGTACTCCTTAATGTAGGTGAAGAAAACTAAAATAAACAAAAAAAATCTAGGAATACTTGTGTTTAGTAAACCAGTTTTAGATTTCACTCTTGTACATTTCACCCATTATCTAGGACCAATTACACATTTGGCACTGAGGAATAATTCAGAGCAACAACTCCTAGGGGAGAACTAGATTGTCTGGTTGGTGATCAAAAAGAACTAAAGCATCTCTGAAGGGAATTAGCCCCCAACACTGTGACCAAGGCCCTGGAGGTGGGGCATGTTCTTTCTGCCTTCCACACAACGCTTCAGGCTGAACAAGGTGTTATTTTTTAACCGCTTTGTGAATTACACTTCTTTAAATTCCTGTGATAATTATTCCCTATTTCACAAGGGTGCCTTTCTGTAACATCTTGAATATGTTACACAAATAGTCTTTCTTGAGGCACACTCTGGTGATAATACTAAAGATCACAATCAAAAACAATTGTGCCCAGAGTAGCAGTACCACTTTGCATTTAGGTTGTGATCTACAGAAAAGTAAATTAAACACATTAATATTTCTATTTAGGGAAATTCTGACAAGTAATTTTATAACAAGATCACTTCATTAATTATAAAGCTTCAAAAATACTTAGTGAAGAAAACTAACAGATCAGGTTAATTACCTGAGACTTTTCAGGAAAAAAAGCCATACAAAAGCAAAAAAAAAAAAAAATGAGGGGAGAGACAAAAACTATCTTTGACTAACATTTTAAAGGTAAGATTATTTACTAACATTATTTTTCAAAATTACATTGTCAAATTAACATTCACTTCCTTCTAATCTCCTGAAGCCATCTCACTAAAAATTATGCTTTTGAAACAAATTAATGAGGTTAATTCATTTTCTATGAGTGTATGTTTTGACTTACTTAGTTAATTTTTTTAACATGGAACTGTTAGCTTTCAATGCTGCTGCAAAGGCTTCCTTATATTCTTCTAACTCAGTTGTAACCTCTTCATAAGCAGTTTTCATTTTGTAGAATTTACATTCCACATCTTTAAGTGTGAGTTCCTTCTTATTTAGTGAAGCTGTATTATATCCTTGTTTAACTGCTCTAATTGTTTTTTATATTGTGCTTGTTCCTAAAACAGAGGAAAAGAATACACTTTTAAAACAATTATAACCTAATTATTATGTTTGTTGCCTTTCATTTTGAGTCAGTGATTCAAAGAGTATTTTTGAATATGTTAAAAAAGAGGCTGAAGGTTAAAATATTTCAGCAATATCAAAACTAATAACTGAATTCAGAATTAAGTCTGATTTGTAAAAATTTGAAATCATAATTATGCTAGTATTAATGTAATCTGGTCATATAAAAAGTAATAGAATCCATTCGTAATTTGAAAAAGTGATCAATGAACACTGTAGCTTAAGACCAATTCATAATTATCACATAATTTCTAAATCACAATTTCTTCCTATGCCAACTGGTCTTAATCATCAAATGACTCCATAATGAGAATCATTACTCTGAAAGATTGATTTTGTTACAATAATAATGGATATTTAAATATTTAAAAGAAAAAAGAGATACCATTTTTTTCTAGAACTCTACAAAGCAGATTGCTACAAGAGAGGCAGAGGAAACACTATATAAATATAATTTGAAGTGAAATAAATGAAAGCACATTACAAGTAAACTTACCTGATTGAAACAACTCACCTGTAAATGTATTTCTTCTAATTTTTCTACTGCCTGCATTGCCCTTTCATCTAGCTCTGATTTATATTCTTGTAGTTTACTAAGTTCTACCATACTGTTTTCCATATGTGTCTTAAGATTTAATATTTCTTCTTCCAACATCTTTTTATCCTCCTCAAATTTTTCACATTCCTGTTGTGCTTTTTTCATAGATAATAACTCCTGTTGAAAAACTTGATTCTCTTTAGCCAAATTGACACATTTTGAAGATACAGCTTCCTTCTCTGCCATAAGATCATCAAACTGCATGAATAAAATAGTATAGCTTGATAATGAAGTAGGCTGAGAATAATCTAATACAAAACCAATAGCAAATTTTGAAATGCATTTACTTGCAATAAAATGTTATCTGTAATGCAGCAGATTCTTCAAATGTGAACCCTGAAATTACTCAGAATTTTAAGAACAAAGTTAAAGCTACCATGAGTCATAAAAATATATTCTTTACTATCATCATCTTCGCCACAGAATTTTTGTACTTCATTTTACTTTTATTTTTCGATAATTCATTTTTGTTCCTCCTTAAATGGCACAAAGTTATCTCCTAGTAAAAAGTGTCTAACCCCCTTCCTTCATTATCATTCCCCACAGTATGTCAAAAAAAGTTTCAGAGATATCATATTGAGTTATTTAGGCCAAAGTCAATAAATGGGCCTAGGAATAAGACTTTGAAAATAATATTACACTCTATATTAGGCATGGTGGCTCATGCCTGTAATCCTAGCACTTTAAAAAGCTGTGGCAGAAAGATCACTTGAGGCCAGGAATTTGAGATCAGCCAGAGCAACATAGTGAGACCCCCATCTCTACAAAAAAAAAATTTTTAATTACCCGGGCATGGTGGCTCATGCCTGTAGAACCAGCTAGTTGGGATACTGAGGCAAAAGGATGGCTTGTACCCAGAGTTCAGGGCTGCAGTGAATTATTATCACTGCACTTCTGCCTGGATGACAGACAAAGACCCTATCTCAAAAAAACAACACAAAATAATGAAATCTATGATTAAGGATTCTGATGCTATAAGCCTTTCCTTAAACTGCAAATGTTTCATGCTAATTTGAATTGCATTTTAAGAAGTAATGATTCTTGGGGTAAAGACCATAGAATACGGCACCCAGAAATAAATCCACATATTTCCAGCCAACTGATTTTGGACGAACATGCCAAGAACATACGCTGGGGAAAGGACAGCCTCTTCAAATGAATGACACTGGGAAAACTAAATATCCATATGGAGAAGAATGATATTAGCTTCCTATGTAACACCATATAACAACATAAACTCAGAATCGATTGAAGACTGAAATATAAGGCCCAAAATTATCAAACTACTCTAAGTAAATATAGGGAAAATGTTTGAGGACATTAGTCTGCACAAAGATTTTTATGGGTAAGACATCAGAAGCATAGGCAAACAACAAATCATAGACAAATGACACTACATTAAGCTAAAGAGCTTCTGTCCAGCAAACAACTGAGTGAAGAAAAAACCTGTAGAATAGGAGAAAATATTGTCAAGCTATTCACCTAATAAGGGACTAATATACAAAATATACAAAAAAACTCAAACAACTTCACAGTAAAAAAAATCTGAGTTCAAAATTGGGCAAAATATATAACTATACTTTTTTTTAGAAAAAGAAATACAAATAACCAATAAATAAATTTTAAAATGCTCAGTATCACTAATCCTCAGGGAAATACAAATCAAATCTACAATGTGATATAATCTTGCTTCAATTTGAATAAATTGCTGTCATTGAAAAGACAAAAAAAATAACAAATGCTCGTGAGGCTCCAGAGAACAGTAAACTCTTACATGCTGTTGGTGGGAAGGTAAATTAGTGCAGCCACTATAGAGAACAACAGGAGGTTTTCTCAAAAAAACTAATAATGGGACTGCCGAGGGATCCAGCAACCCCACTACTGGGTATTCAGGCAATAGAAAAGAAAACAATAGATCAAAAGGATACCTGTCCTCATATGTTTACTGTAGCACTATCCACAACAGCTTCTGTATGGAATCAACCTACATGTCCATCACCAAATGAATGGACGAAAAACTGTGGCACACAAACACAGTGGAATAGTATTCACCGTATAAAGGAATTAAATCCTGTTATTCGTGGCCACGTGGATCAGTCTGACGGATGTTATGTTAAGTGCAGACACAGAAAGATAAATACTGCACATTCTTACTCATGTGTGGGAGCTAAAGGAAAATTGAAGGCTGGGCAATATGGCTGATGCCTGTAATTTCCTAGCTCTTTGTAAGACCAAGGCAAGAGAATCATTTGAGGCCAAAAGTTCCAGAGCTCCCTGGGAAACATAGGGAGATATCTCTACAAAGTCAAAAATCAGACATGTGCAATGGTGCATGCCCATAATGCCAGCTGCTCAGGAGGCTGAGGTGTGAGGATCAGATGGGCCCAAGAGTTTGAGGCTGCAGTGAACTATGATCAAACCACTGTCTCCAGTCTGGGTGACTACAGTTGCCCAGAGCCCAGACTACACTAGCAAGACCCTGTCTCTTAACAAAAAAAAGCTCACAGAAGTAGGGGAGGTGAGGCTGGTTAATGGATACAGAATTACAGTTAGATAAGAGGAGTGGGTTCTGGTGTTCTGTGGCATTGTAGGGTGAATATGGTTAACTACGACTTATTGTATATTTTTAAAAAGCCAGAAGATTTTGAATGTTCACAATTCAAAGAAATGAAAAATGGTTGAAGTAGTAAATGTGCTAGTTAGCTTGATCATTACACACTATATACATGTATAAAAATATCACTCTATAGCCCATAATTATGTATATATGTGTCAATTAAAACAAAAGAGAAGCTACATTCATCCCATTTAAAAAGCAGAATATGGGCCAGCCTTACTGACTTCCTTCTAATGAGTAGAATGTAGTGAAAGGGATACCATGTGGCTTCCCTATCTCAGACTGTTTTCCCTTGGAACCCAGCCCCAATTGTGAGAGCCTGAAAGTGCCTGTGTCAGTGTTCATGCTGCCTGTCCCAACCAAGTTTACAGCCGATGGCCAGCATCAACCATCAAACAAGTGGGTGACCAAAGCTTCAGAGGATTCCATTTCCCCAACTGATCAGCTCTTCCTAGGGAAGCTGAAGGGAGCAGAGACAAGCTGTTCTGGCCAAGTTTTTCCCAAACCACAGGTTCATGAACAAAATAAATGTTTTTCTTTCAAGCCACAAGACTCTGGGTAATTGTTAGAAAAATAACTTTTAAAAAGAGACAACAGGAAACATAACTTATGCAGCAGAAAAGTCTCCTTTAAAGTAGGATCTAATAAATGTTGAGATTTATTTATTGATGTCAAACATTATTGAGAAGCAGCAGATAACCAGGAGAGAGACATAAGCTGCTGAGGAGGAATTTTCCTAAAACTCCTTCAATTATGAACTCTGATAACAAGGCAAGGATGTCTCCTTACAATTTCCCCTCAAGTTAGGAAATAAGATTGGGAAGCAAGAAGATGTATGATTTGAAAAACAACTAGAGATACTTGGTGACATAGGCAAAATCAGACATTTACCTGATTTCAATTAACTAAAATTCTAAAAGAAGAAGCTTTGAGTGTTTATTAATCAACCTAGTATTCAATTTTCATTTTCTTTTCTAAATGAGCAAATAAGGAGATTATGGAATGATTTTTAGTCTTCACAGAAGTAAAATAAGCATAGTGTGTTTTGAGTGTTAAGACATCAAATGCAATTTCTCCTTTACCTTACTCCAAGCTTGTTTGTATGGAGAAGTTAAGACCATCCCATCTCTATGTTATGCCACAATGCTCCTCTATAGCACACAACTTGGCTCCGAAATTTTGAAAGTCAAAATACTAACCTACTATGTGTCTCTGATAAATTGCCTGAACATTACCTGATTTTGAAGTGCTGCACTCCTAAGACTTTTTCTTGGAATGAGTTAAACGTTTTATTCCAAGAATCCTCTACTGAGCTAGAAAGCAGAGCTGTGCATCTCTGTTTCAGTAAAAGGAGGTCAATACAGGGAACTGTGGTCTCTGAGAATGCAAGATCTGCACTAAGAAAAGGATTAGCTACAGTACTACCCAAGAGAACCAGCTACCAGGAGGAAAGAGGGTCTGTAAACTGCAAGATGATGACTTCACTTGATTTCCACTGAGGAAAGCTGGTGGTTCAGACTTAAACTTCTCCTTCCTCGATGGTAAACATCTATGGAAGGTTCTATGAATTATAATGAGTTAGTAAAACATAATGCACTAAATATTAGACTATGTCAGCAGATCCTGCGACCAAAACTTACTGAAAATATAACTATAGCGGGAGGCAATGGAAAAGAGACTAAAGGCTTGAATGGAGAAAAAAAGAAATTAAATGTGTCTTGTAAGCCTGGCGTCTGATCATGTCTTAGACGAAGTAAGGTATAAGCTGGCCAGAGACTCCTTTGTGACACAAAAGGTGAAGTTACAGATATTCCACTAAATTTAATTTTTATTATGACATAAGACAACTGGTAATATGCAACATGATTGAAAAAAACTTCTCATTCAATTCGATTGGGCCTTGACATAAGAATAGACATAAAGAAGCTAAGAATTCACAATCTAAAAATAAGCTTGCACTTTTACAATCAATTGATTTTATACAAACTTAACGAAAGAACACAATGGGAAAAGAATAGTCTTTTCAACAAATGGTGCTGGGACAACTGGGTATCCATAAGAAAAAATAAATAAAGTTCGACCAAATATCTTATTTAAAAATTAACTCAAAATAAAATAGTTAACTGTAAAAGCTAAAACTATAAAACCCTCAGAAGAAAACACTGGCATAAATCTTTGTGACAGCATTTGCCAGTGTTTTCTTAGCTATGACTCCAAAGGAAAAATGGATTCAATGGACTTCAAAATTGAAAACTGCTGTGCCTCAGAAGACAGTATGAAGAAGTGAAAAGGTAAGACGCCAAGTAGAAGAAAGTATTTGAAAAGCGTGTATCTGATAAGGGACTTACATATATAGGAAATATAAATAACTCTTGCAATTAATAAATAACAAGATAAGCCAATTTTAAAAAATGGTCAAAGATTTTGAATAGATATATCTGCAAAGCAGATATAAAGATGGATAAGCACATTAATAGATGCTTAATGTAATTAGTCATTAGGAAAATGTAAATCAAAACCACATGTGGTATCACTTCACACCACAGGATAAAATCTTTGTTCAAGAAAAAAGAGGGTTAGAAAAAAATGTAAAGAAATTAAAACCCTTAACTAATGCTGCTGGGAATGTAAAGTGATGCAGCCACTTTGGAAAACAAACTGGCAGCTCCTTAAAGGGTTAAGCATAAAGTTACCATATGACACAGAAATTCCAGTCATAAGTATATACTCCAGAAAAATAAAAACATACACAAGCACAAAAACTCATACATAAATGTTTACAGCAGCATTATTAATAGTAGTCAAAAGGTGGAAAGAACCAGAACGTCTGTCACCTTTGGGTGGGAGAGAACCCAAAGGTCCCATCACCTGGCGAATAGATAAATAAAATGTTTGATGTATCCATACAATGGATTATTACTCAGCAATAAGAAGAAATTAAGTACAGATACCGTATTAGGAGGAGACAGCAAAATGCCTAGGCAGATACGGAAGGGTGCCCGGAAAATCTCCAACCAGCTCCACAAGTGTTTACACCAGATGTTATGTGCAGATAAGGGAAGCTGGACTTGTCTTGCCTGGACATGCCCGCAGCAGACCGGAGGCCCACATGCAGTGGGGGGATGGGGTGGAGTCACCAGGAATTCACGCCTTATGCAGAGGAGGAGCCTGGCCGCTTCAGCTCATGTGCTCCTGGTATTCAATTGTGAGGTGGAAACCTGTTTGCAGGACCCCTCTCTTTGCTGAGAGCTGTCCTTTCACATAATAAATTCTGCCCTCCTCAATGTGTCTGCATGCTTAATTTTTCCTGGTCACGAGAGAAGAACCCAGATGTAGCTGAACTAAGGAGCAAAAACCCGACATCTATACCTGCTACAGCACAGATGCAGCATGAAAAATTATGCTAAGTGAAATAAGCCAGTCCCAGCAGACCACTTGCTTTTTATTTCAGAGGCTTATAGGCAAATCTATACAAAGAAGCTGGGTGGTTCCCTAGGGCTGAGGGAGGAAGGGAAAACTAGTGAAGATGGCTAAATGATGTGGGGTTTGTTTTTAGGGTGATGAAAATGTTCTAAAATTAATTGTAATGATGACGGCATAACTCTGAAAATACTAAAGTTAATGAATTGTATACTTTAAATGAGTGAATTGCATGGTGTGTTCATTATTTCTCAATAAACCTGTTACCCCCCCACCCCGAATTAATTTGGTACTAGAGATCCGGAGATAGGTACTGCTTGGTTTCAAATCACTGGCCAGGGTTCAAGGTCTAAGAGAATCAACAACATGTCCTTTTTATAGAAAAAGAGATTTATATTTTACAAGCTATCCTTTTCATTAGTATCAAGTCTGTAAAATTAAATGAAAAATCTTTCTTTCACTGCTTAAAGCACTGACAGATTTATATAGAGGAATAAGACCTTGTTTTCTTTGGCCCCAATTTCTATCTAAAGGGTCTGGGAAACACACCCTTCAAACTATCAAATCTCATCAGATGGGTTTTATTAACACTTATAATGTGGCTTCCTTTCTAATCTGATTCTGGTGCAGCATCACAGAGAGAAGAGGCTGAAGGAAATCAAAATATTTTACCCCCAAATATATTTTTTGACGTATTTTGAAATGGCTGCTGCAGGCCAAGAGATTGAAATGGCCCTCATTAAGGTAGCCCAATCTCTCCCCTTCTAGGTCTTCCCAGATCTGGGGAAGATTAACTAAGAGCCTGAGGCATTTAAAGTTTGAAAAGATATATTTACCCTCTATTTTATCAACATATTTTGGCAGAATTTGGGTTTTTCCATTATCAATATTTTCCAAAATGCATGATTTTTAATACCAAAACTGATTTAAAATTACCATACATTGGAAGATAAATTATTCTATTATAAAGATACATGCATTTGTATGTTCACTGCAGCACTATTCACAATAGTAAAGACATGGAATCAACCCAGGTGGACATTATCAGTGATAATGGGATAAAGAAAATGTGGTATATATACACCATGGAATACTATGGAGCCATAAAAATGAATGAGATCGTGCTCTTTGCAGGGATATGGATGAACCCGAAGCTGATATCTTCAGCAAACTACTGCAGGAAGAAAAAACCAAACACTGCATCTTCTCACTTATAAGTGGGAGCTGAACTATAAGAACACATGGACTCGGGGAGGGGAACAACAAACACTGGGGCCTGTTGGGGTCAGGAGGGAGAGTATCAACATCAATAACTAATGCCCACAGGGCTTAATATCTAGGTGATTGATTGATAGGTGCAGCAAACCACCATGGCACATGTTTACCTATATAACAAACCCGCACATCTCACACACGTAATCTAGACCTTAAGATAAAATAATTTTTTTTAAATTACCTTCTGTTTTAGCTTCTTAATCAGAATATCCATTTTCAGTTGATCTGTTTTTAAGTCTCCATGGCAACCAAAGTCTTCATTTCCAAATACATTTCACTTATTTATTGTCATTTCCAGGAGGCGTTTATATCTGCAGAAATGTACAGAATTAGTAAGTCAAGTATTTTTAAGAGTAAATATTTAATAATTGTTTAAATATATGTTATGGCATATCAAGGAAACAAATCTATAAACTATGTTCCTTTCAGTTTCAACTGAACATAGTTTAAAAGCATTCTATATGAAATTATAATCTTAGATAAATAATATGAAGAACAATTTTATGTCATATATGGCAGGTAAAGTGATATTATAAACATACAGTGTTTTTGTTTTGTTTTTTTTGTTTTGGATGGAATTTCATTCTTGTTGCCCAGGCCAAAGTGCAATGCAGTGATCTCAGCTCGCTGCAACCTCTGCCTCCTGAATTCAAGTGATTCACCTGTCTCAGCCTCCCAAGTGGCTGGGATTACAGGTGTGTACCACTACGTCTGGCTCATTTTGTATTTTTAGTAGAGATGAGGTTTCACTGGTCAGACTGGTCTTGAACTCTTGACCTCAAATGATCCACCCACATTGCTCTCCCAAAGTGCTGGGATTACAGGTGTGAGCCACCACACCTGGCCTAACTGTACACTTTTTGTAAATAAACTACTCATATCCATGTTGGTATGCTAGGTAAAATAACCTATTACTAAATATAAGCCATAACCCAGAGATAAGTAACCAAGATAAAAAAGTAAAACACATACGTTTGAAAAAGACAAAAAATACATTTTGATATGCATTGATCACAGTCTATCAGAGAAAAAAAAGTACACACAAAAAGCATCAAGGAGATCTTTCAATGTAGAAAAAGAGAAGAAAACATCTTTAATATCTGAGTTGAAGAGAAAAAGGAAACAGGCAGTTTTAGAAAAAAGGAAAGGGGCGGAGAGATGTGTGACGATTTAAAGACTTTGAAGAAGAGATCTAGACATCTTTGCTGACATAATGTCAACAAAATTAAACAGACACAAAACCATGTAGAGAAAGGCAATGACAGAAAAATGTTGATTCGAATCAGAAAACCAAATTAAGTGCTCAGTAAATAAATAGAAAAGTAGCTGTGTTCAAGGCTTCAAAGACAGATTCCGTTGTTTTAAAAAAAATCTGTGATCAAAACATAAATGTTCATTTTACTTTTTCTTCAAGTTATACATATATTTATATATATGAAATTTATTTATGTAAAACAAGTTTAATAACATGTATACTTCATGTATACAACAGAGGTACTCATCTACAATGAGTAAATTTCCATGATATGTTTTATATCTAAAAGAAAAAGAAGCAGAAACAAAATATAAGCTACATATCAAGATAAATTTGATGTTAAAGAATGACACAAACAAGTCTTCTTTAAGGAATTTGAATGCAGCAGAGGGTACTACAAAAGGAAGAAAAAATGACCACAGACAGCAAAACATATCTTCAGAAATAAAAATTCAAACTAGATAATGAAGAGTGCACTGGACATTATATGTCCAAGGCTTGGTCATTGTTTTCAAAATCATGAAAGAATAAGTGGCCGGGCATGGTGGCTCACGTCACTTTGGGAGGCCGAGGCAGCAGATCACGAGGTCAGGAATTCAAGACCAGCCTGATCAACTTGGCAAAACCCCATCTCTACTAAAAATACAAAAATTAGCTGGGAGTGGTGGCACATGCCTGTAATGCCAGCTACTCAGGAGGCTGAGGCAGGAAAATTGCTTGGAGGCATAGGTTGCAGTGAGCCAAGACCGTGCCATTGCACTCCAGCCTGGGAAACAGAGCCAGACTCTTTCTCAAAAAGAAAAAAAAATATTTTGGCATTCAAAAAAAATTTCACCTTGCCCCAGCAGCTCAGCTGACTCCCGCCCCCATGACACACATATCTAAAAAGTTGTGCTGTGAGTTTCTGAAATACATTTTAAAATAGAATTCATTTAATTATGAAAATGCAAACTTAAAATGAATTTGTATCTAGGTTTTAGTCAAGTAAAATTAGAGTTAAATCAATTAATAAGTGGTTAACATGTTCTACAATATGAAAACCATCCATGCCCAGTTGCTTCTTCTTCTAAATCATGACTTTTCTTTCTTATTCGATCCACATTGTACTCCAGTGATGATATTAACTCAAAAAGTTTTCTTAATTCTTCATTTTTTTCTTCAGGCTTAAAAAAGTGTTTAAAATTATTTTTGTAAAATCTAGAGTCCCTCTTTTATCTCAAAAATATTATTTCTCATAAGTGGATGAGTAATATGTATTTAAGCAGGTGTATAAAGTGCATTTTGTAAACCTGATGCCAATAAGGGCAGATCTCAAAAATAGTCACTTTTCTTAAAACTGCTATAAGTGTTTCAAATTTTCATCGTTATCTTTTCTGAAATTTAAACTGCCAACAATGTTTGTTACAAATGAGGGTTTTTACACTCAAAATACTAAGGGTTAGTTAAAAAAAAAGAGCAGTTATATTTACATTTTAGTTTTTAAACATGCTCTAGAAATATTGTCTTTAATAGTTTAAGATATTCCAAGTTTTCTTAAATTACATCTTACTAAGACAATTTTTAAAAAACTCTTATCTAGTTCCCATTACATTTTTCATCCTCATCTGTCTTCAGGTTGAGCTAAATACTGTCATTCTAAGTATTCACCCATAGGTTTCAGTTTTTCCCTTTCTCTTAACCATTTCTCTTTAAATAAAGTATATTTTTCTATAATAAAAACAACTTTTGTCTACTTTTTGTGGCTTTTCTATTATCGTGTTTCTCCCCTTCCATTAGACTCTATGGCACATGGTCTCATTCAGAAATCTATTTTTCATCAATTATGGTGTTTTTTATACTGAAATCTGATTTTTAATAATCCCAATAAAAAAGTCCAAGGGTCATGAAGGACTTTATCCTGCTGTACTCAGCAGAGCAGTGACCAAATGCTCCCTCTGCTCCTCTGACCCCGCCTCCTTTCTCAATGCAGCGACCTCTGTTCTTCAGCCCTGTCCCTTTCTATTCCTCTGACCCCGCCTCCTTTCTAAATGCAGCGACCTGTGTTCTTCAGGTCTATCCCTTTCTATTCCTCTGACCCCGCCTCCTTTCTCAATGCAGCGACCTCTGTTCTTCAGCCCTGTCCCTTTCTATTCCTCTGCCCCGCCTCCTTTCTAAATGCAGCGACCTCTGTTCTTCAGCCCTATCCCTTTCTATTCCTCTGACCCCGCCTCCTTTCTAAATGCAGCGACCTGTGTTCTTCAGCCCTATCCCTTTCTATTCCTCTGACCCCGCCTCCTTTCTAAATACAGCGACCTGTGTTCTTCAGCCCTGTCCCTTTCTATTCCTCTGACCCCGCCTCCTTTCTAAATGCAGCGACCTGTGTTCTTCAGCCCTGTCCCTTTCTATTCCTCTGACCCCGCCTCCTTTCTAAATGCAGCGACCTGTGTCCTTCAGCCCTATCCCTTTCTATTCCTCTGACCCCGCCTCCTTTCTAAATGCAGCGACCTGTGTTCTTCAGCCCTGTCCCTTTCTATTCCTCTGACCCCGCCTCCTTTCTAAATGCAGCGACCTGTGTTCTTCAGGCCTATCCCTTTCTATTCCTCTGACCCCGCCTCCTTTCTCAATGCAGCGACCTCTGTTCTTCAGCACTATCCCTTTCTATTCCTCTGACCCCGCCTCCTTTCTAAATGCAGCGACCTGTGTTCTTCAGCCCTGTCCCTTTCTATTCCTCTGACCCCGCCTCCTTTCTAAATGCAGCGACCTCTGTTCTTCAGCCCTATCCGTTTCTATTCCTCTGACCCCGCCTCCTTTCTAAATGCAGCGACCTGTGTTCTTCAGCCCTGTCCCTTTCTATTCCTCTGACCCCGCCTCCTTTCTAAATACAGCGACCTCTGTTCTTCAGCCCTGTCCCTTTCTATTCCTCTGACCCCGCCTCCTTTCTAAATGCAGCGACCTCTGTTCTTCAGCCCTATCCCTTTCTATTCCTCTGACCCCGCCTCCTTTCTAAATGCAGCGACCTGTGTTCTTCAGCACTATCCCTTTCTATTCCTCTGACCCCGCCTCCTTTCTAAATGCAGCGACCTGTGTTCTTCAGCCCTGTCCCTTTCTATTCCTCTGACCCCGCCTCCTTTCTAAATGCAGCGACCTGTGTTCTTCAGGCCTATCCCTTTCTATTCCTCTGACCCCGCCTCCTTTCTCAATGCAGCGACCTCTGTTCCTCAGCACTATCCCTTTCTATTCCTCTGACCCCGCCTCCTTTCTCAATGCAGCGACCTCTGTTCTTCAGCACTATCCCTTTCTATTCCTCTGACCCCGCCTCCTTTCTCAATGCAGCGACCTCTGTTCTTCAGCCCTGTCCTTTTCTATTCCTCTGACCCCGCCTCCTTTCTAAATGCAGCGACCTGTGTTCTTCAGGCCTATCCCTTTCTATTCCTCTGACCCCGCCTCCTTTCTAAATGCAGCGACCTGTGTTCTTCAGGCCTATCCCTTTCTATTCCTCTGACCCCGCCTCCTTTCTAAATGCAGCGACCTGTGTTCTTCAGCCCTGTCCCTTTCTATTCCTCTGACCCCACTTCATTTCTAAATTTAGCAACCTCTATTCTTCAGCCCTGTCCTTTTCTGGTTTTTTGTTTTGTTTTTGTTTTTTGTTTTGAGATGGAGTCTCCCACTGTCACCCAGGTTGGAGTGCAGTGGCATGATCTTGGCTCACCGCAACCTCCACCTCCTGGGTTCAAGCGATTCTCCTGCCTCAGCCTCCCAAGTAGCTAGGATTACAGGCATGTGCTACCATGTCCAGCTAATTTTTTGTATTTTTAGTAGAGACAGGGTTTCACTATGCTGGTCAGACTGGTCTTGAACTCCTGACCTCATGATCTGCCTGCCTTGGCCTCCCAAAGTGCTGGGATTACAGGTGTGGCCCACCATGCCTGGTGGCTAATTCTCTTTTTAAATTCTCTCAGGACTCCTAAAATCTCAAAACTTTGACCTAGATTCCCAAATCTACATTTCCAGCTCTGACCATTTTCTTGAGGTCTCTTCCTTCTAGTACACATATTATAGACAATATTCTCAACCACATGCTCATACATTGCTAATTGGTGCAGATTACTTTTGTAGATAGTGAATCTTGTGTATTTTATGTTGGTTCTCATTAATGTTACTTTGAGTATACTGTTATTGTCTAATCTCAAAGGGGGACTATCTCACTGTTATGATACTAACCAGTATACTTTGTCCTTTTTTTCTTGCTTTCTTCTTTTTTGGACCAGTATACTTTGTCCCTTTTTTGTTTTTCTTTTTTTCTTTTTTTTTTTTTTTGAGATGGAGTCACACTGTGTCATCCAGGCTGGAGTGCAGTGGCACCATCTCGGCTTACTGCAACTTCCACCTCCTGGGTTCAAGTGATTCTCCTGCCTCGGCCTCCCAAGTAGCTGGGACTACAGGTGCACACCAACACACCTGGTTAATTTTTGTATTTTCAGTAGAGACAGGTTTTCACTATGTTGTCCAGGCTGTTTTTGAACCGCTGACCTCAGGTAATCCACCCACCTCAGCCTCCAAAAGTGTTGGGATTACAGACGTGAGCCACGGCACCCAGCACTCTTTTTCTTTTATAATGAAAACTTTCCCATGAGAATCAGATTATCAATTGTTTGCCTTTATTTTCTTTTAAAGAAATTCCTTTTCCATAGAGATGTGGCATGATGAAAGTCTTGTTCTATAGTTTCTTTTGGGGGACACTTAACTATGTCATTGGGAAGCTTCAGTAAGTAGAGATCTCCCTTCTTCTCACTCAAGATTCTTCATCTCAAAATGGTGTCCACCAAATGTCTTAATCCAGGTAGTCTCTTGTTTAGAAGTTCATGAAATAAGAACCTTCTCAAGAAGTTGGAGGCTATTGATTGAGATGGTTTAAAGCTGCCCCTTATTATATGTTTTACTCCCAAGGTAGACATCAAAGTGGCTAATAATTCTATGACTGATGTCTAACTCACTTCTATGGGAATCTATAGAAAATGTTTTATTTATGAGACAGAGTCTCCCTCTGTTACCCAGCCTGGAGTGCAGTGGCTTGATCACCGTTCACTACAGCCTCAATATTCCAAGCTCAAACGACCCTCCTACCACAGCCTCCCAATGTAGCTGGGACTATAGGCATGCATCACCATGCCTCAGCTAAGTGTTTAATTTTTTTTTTTTTTTTTTTTAGAGACTGGGTCTCACCATATTGCTCTGGCTGGTTTCAAACTCCTGGGCTCAAGCGATCCTCCTGCCTCAGCCTTCCAAAACCAGGTGTTTAACTTGGGACTAACATGAAGCACTTAGAAGACTACGTGGAACATAGTGAGCTACATAAAATATTTGCTATTAGCATAATAATTTTATTGCATATCTTAACAAAATTGTGTAAGTTAGGCAGGTGGCATGCCAATGGAAGTATTCTCCTATAGCTGCACTGAATCATTCTTACCACTGAGAGTTGCAGCAAATGGGGGACATAATTTATAACTTACTTTTCTTTCTGTATGACTCATTAGGCAATGACTATATATGTACTACAACGTAAACAGCACCTCCTGGATTGAATAGAACATAACTGACATGACCAGCAGAGACAGGCTAAAGACACTGAGCTGAAAACCCTGGACTCTATTGCTAAATTGAGGCTCCTGAATCCGTTCGCTCTGAGCAACTGTTGCTGTGGTGCTGCCTTCACAAGCACTCTGCTGAGCACTCAGATAGAGGGGCTGTGCTATCCGTCAACAGACAAGCTGCAGCCAGAACTGCTCAGCTGACAAACTGGTAGAGGTCCAGAAACACAGTTCTGCTGCATAGTGAAAAAAGGCCAATTTAGATTCTTTTTCATAGAGAGAAAAACATAAACATGTGATTGAACGAGTCTCCTGTATTAGACTAATTGGGTTGGCTTTGATATTTAATTGCTAAAAATACACTTAGAATATAAACCTTACTGTGTCAAGGTCTCAAAGAATAAATAATTGGTATGGTATAAAGAAGTATTGAATTCTATGCTACAAACTTCTAAGCTAAAATATTTTCAATGTATGCAAGGATAGGTGACATACATATTAGATACTATTCCCCCATTAAGCAAATTTATAATGAGAGAAAATTATCTTCCATAAAAAAATAAAAGCCATGTAAAATTAAGGACTAAGTTTTTCTGCACAGACTAGACAACGATTGCTAACACATAAGGTCAAAGAGAGAACAGTCAGAGAAAGCTTCATGAAAACAATAAATTGTCTGCCACGTCTGAGTGAATGAGGCTAGATGAACAGAAACTGAGAAGGCAGAAAGGATAGCATGAGCAAGACAAGTGCTGAAATCTGCCCAATTAACTCTGAGGATAAAGTCCAATGGCAGGGAAATAAAAACCCGTGTCCACATAATAACCTGTAAGTGAATGTTCGCAGCAGCATTGTTCATAATAGCTAAAAAGTGGAAACTAACTTAAAGGTCCATCAACTGATGAATGAATGGAAAACCAGTATAGCCATGGAATAGTACATCATTTAACTATAAGAAGAAATAAACTACTCATGTGTGCTAAAACATGCATGAATTCTGAAAGCATTATGCTAAGTGAAAAAGCCAGTCACAAAGGACTACATATTGTATAACGCTATGTATACGAAATATACAGAACAGGTAAATATATGGAGACAAAAGTAGATAGATGGTGGTTGCCTACAACAGAGGTAGGTGGAGGGACATGGAGGAAGGCTGCAGTCATGCCTAGGAGATGTGGGGTTGCTTTTCAGGGTGATGAAAATGCTGTGAATATACTAATAGATACTCAGTTGTACATTTTAAATGGTTGAACTCTCTCAAATGTGAATGATATCTCAGTGAAACTGTTTTTAAAATCCAAAGGCAGGATCAAGATAATTTTCTCAACTCTCAATTTTTGACTTACATGCTATATCAAATCTAAATATTTTTAGAGTTTTATAGTATATTTTAAATTAAAGATAAAGAAAATGCCTAAATTTTCAAATAGTTTGTAAATTAACCTAAAACATGCACATTTCAAAGAATAGTATAATGGCCTTTCTGTACAAGTTAACCTGCAATCTGTGAAATAAATAGACACAGATTCTGTGTCCATTCACGAAAGTGAAGAAATAAGACAACTTTCTGGAACTTTCCATGAAATATTCTCCTCTGATTTAATCTGGCCTGCCTCATCAGAACAATACAAAAATTACTTAAAAATACTGTTTTTACAGGAAAAAAGTAAGTTTTCTATGAGGAATGATATATAATTCTCCACTTTTCCAAGGGTACATATTGTAACAGAAAAGGTATGCAATGGTTTTTCAAAATGGTAGAATGAAAGTCACAATATAAAAAAATAAGTACATTATAAAGATAGTAAAATGGAAATAATTCATTGTAATGAAACTAAAAAATCAAGCTTCTGCCAAAATTAGTATCCTAAAACACGTTATATAAACTCAACTAGCTACAGAATAAGAGTTGACATGTTAAATTCCATACACACTTGACTTTTCACTTGAAATAATTTCTTCTTTGGGGCCTGTGTCTCATCCAAATTAATGTGATAATGTGACATACCTTCCAGTGGAGACTCTAACGTAGTTAATATTTTTAGGCTGTCAGCCGCTTCTTGTTGAAGTTGTCTCACAACCACCTGAGAAAATATTTTTGTTACTGATTTTATAAATTGCCTTATTATTAAATTATGTTAATAATATTTAACTCCCTGCCAAATTGGTATTCTCTTACTTACACAACAGGTTCATCCCACCATTCAATCATCTTAGAAGCTCAACTCAACCTCAAAGTTCCTAACATATTCAATCACCTTTTCAAATCCTTCCAACAGATTCCTATCTCAGGATAAAAGTGAAATTCCAATGGCCTTTGAGGCCCTAGGTAAACAGTCCTCTACCTCCCTCTCTGACTTCAAAGCTCCTACAACTCCTTCCTGTAATTACTCCATTCCCACTGTACATGAAGCCTGCCACCCCTCAGTCTGAAAATGGGGATCTAATGCCTTACTCATAAATCACAGGCAGCTACAAGTATCTTTGTACTGAACAAAATTATATTCCAATGATAGTCATTGAGCCTTGAAATAAAAATTATGAGCTAATTATTAATATAAATAGTCAAAGTAAACTATAAATACCAGTGGCAAAACTAAATCAAACATAGTTTTGCTAATTATTACATTCATTCTAAATTATGATTTTATGACATGTAGGTGCCTTTACAACATTACGTAGTCATAAAAATATGTAATTTGAAGTATTTTCAGATTTTTAAAATTAATATGAATAATAACAAAGATATACCAAAAAAAAAAAACACATAAAAAACTACTTAAAGCAAGGTATTACAAGACACAGCAATACACTTCAGTTCATCTGGGAAGTCTAGAATTAAGTGTCGAAGGAAATCACTTAATTAAATTTTAATTTGAAAATACTCATTTCAGGTGTAAACATTTCCATTTATACCTACATTATGGTCTTAACATGTGGCAACATAAAGTCATTAAAATTATTTCAGCAGTACAGAACTATCTATCTTAAAATATGACTCTGTGCCTAATAAAATTTCATAGGTGACACAATGTCTTTTCTCAAAGTAAATCATCTCTCATCTCTACCTTTTATTTCCTAGAAATGAGGCATGTTTCTAAGCTGATATAGTAAACACATTTTTCCTTTTTTTATTAAAACAGCTTTGTTGAAATATAATTTACATACTATAGAATGTATCTGTTTTAACTTAAAGTTAAAAGATTTTTAGTCCATTTACTGAGTTGTGCAGCCATCTCTACAATCCAACTTTACAGCATTTCCATCACTGCAAGATCCCTCATGCCCATTAGCAGTCACTACCAGCTTCTAGTCCCAGCCCTTTGCAAATATTAATCTACTTTTTGTCCCTATACGTTTATCTTTTCTGGATGCTTCACGTACATGGAATTATACAGTATGGTAAACACACTTTTTATCTATTGATTTTTATATTCAACTAAGTTCAACATGTATCCAGAACCAAATGTTTAAATTTTCTTTCTAGAAGTTTGAAAATATTTATCTTCCTTGATACTTACTACTCTTTCTGCTTTCTCTCTCTCATATTGAAAGAGACTTTCTTTTAAATGATCACATTCATTCATTACCTTCTTATTTTTCTCTTCTAGCATGAGGTCTTTCCACTCTCAATAAAGCTTCTTTGGATATTAGTTATTATCTCTTTATGATACTCTTTCTGATGAACATCATCTAGTTGCTGTTCAATGCACGGATTTTCATGTTGGAGTTGACATATTCTCTCTTCTACACAGCTCCACTTTCCAGTGGAATTATTCTCTTTAGCTTCTGCATTTTCATACATCTCTTTCATTTCCTTTATTTGCTGCTGTGTTTGGCTTAGGTTGTTATGTACAGTTTCTAAAGCCAATGACTTTTTTCTGAGAGTATCTCTTGTCTTAAGGAACTTATCTTTTAAGGTATTGAATTTAATTTGTGGTTTAGAAAGTTGTTCAGTAAGAAACTCATTCTTATCTTCTACTTCGGAAATATCAGAACTCATTTTTACTTGTACGGAAACATCTTGAGTTCTCTCTAAAGCAAGTTTTAGGTTTCTTTCTGTTTTCACACTTTCACTGTGTTTACTTATAGAAGCAGCCAGTCTAGACTGATAAGATTCAGTTTCAGCTTCCAGTCTTTTGTTGCTTTCTTCTTCCTTCAACAGTCCGGAACTGAGCCTTGTATTCTCAGCTTTGAGATCATTAAGCTCTTGTTGATACCGGAATGCTGTTATTGTTATCAATTCCTCATTGAGTTTTATATACTTTTCAAGGACAGCATTTGTTTCTTTAACAATTTTAACTTCCTTAAGTTATTTATTTTCTTTTTCCAGGTTGTCATTTTTCATTGTGCACATTTCCTGTCTGAATATAGCAATATCTGTATTCAAAATGCAATTTTAATCCATCAGATCTTTCATTTCTTCGTGATTATGAAAATCCTAAATAAAACTAAAGAAAGTTTTAGCTAGTACTCAATAAAATATCGTGATTACCTCTGAAGTTAAAGAATAACCTGCACATCCATACACTAAAAAGGTTACTGTAAGTGGATATCCAACTGGAGACAAAGTTGAAGCAACACTTTGAACCTTATAGAGCATAAATTCCAAAAAGTTCAGAAATTTATTTAAAGTCAATGAATTTATAAAAGTAAACACACACACACACACACACACACACACACACAAACCAGAGAATTTTTAAGAATTTCAGAATTGGAAAAGCCTTTCCTTGAATTACAACAAACTGAAAAGCATAAATTAAAGCATTAACAAATTTGACTAAATTAAAATATATCAAAAAATTGCATTTACACTTTGATATCTAACCCATACAACACCCTATAGTAAGAACCTTGGTTCACACGTATTTGGACAGATAAAATTTCCCAGAGTTATTACAGTTCTGTTTCGCTGATAACATTCTATTTCAATTTGACTCTTTTAACACTTTTATATTCAGTTGTAAGAATTACATTTACTAAATCATAAATCTAGACATTATACTAGTCACTCCTATATACATTCATTGATGAACTCATCTAGTTATCACAATTTTGAAAAAGAAATGTTAAAAATATAAGCAAGCTACAGGATTTTCCCCAGGACTTCTGACTCTACTTCTAGTTCTCTGACATATCACAGTTACTTCTGTGGTGTAAATATATCCATATGGAAGAAAACTTTTATTTCAAAACACCAATGGTAAATAAGATAAAATTTATAGAGCTCTTCTTAGAATATCATGAGATTATTTGTGATTGCAATAATTTGTTTCCTCTTTATAATATTAGGTACAGTAATCAATATGAAATAGGGGAAAGTACAAGGAACAATTTTACTGGGAACAGAATCTTTATCAATAGGTTATCACTAAGTATATACTATGGCATATTATTGTTTTCAAAAGCTCTTTGTTATAAAATAATATCTTATGTGGATGCCAAGATTTATAATAAATATTAATAATTGTACCTGTAAGTGGCATCATTCATTTTTTAAAAATGAGATAACATTTCTGGTTTGTTTTAGATCTAAATATTATATATTAAATCAAGAGAATATTAGAAGAAACTTTCATAAAATAGTTTAAAATATAGAATTTTTACCAAAGATTGATTTATCTGATTTGGAGTATTTCTTGCAGTCTTTGTTTTCATCTCTAGTGATTGAACAGTTGGTTCAAGTTGCTTTGCTTCAACTTCTTTCTTATGTTGTTTCTCTTTCCTTTCTAATTCTTCTCTATTTTTTTGTACAGCATATTAACATTTGTTTTTTCTTTATTTTCTTATCTTAAGATGCATCTGCAGATAAAGACATTTATCTTAAAACTCATTTTGTTAAAAAATAAAGAGTTCATCCTGTGATCTACCTCTGCAGATGCTCTTTATCATCCTAATAAAATTTCTGTGTTCTGAATTATTTTTCCTGTTTAGTTCTCAGATATTTAATCTCTCACTTCAACATCTTCAAAAGAATGCATATACTTGAAAAGTAGTAAGGAAAGAATATTCTGCTGAAGTTTTTGTTACTAGTCACTCTAGCATATATTATAAAAAAGGATACTGGAGATAATTCAGTATAGTTAGAATTTCAAAATTACCTTTTCAAATCACACAGTCATAATTACTCCCCGATTAGAAAAGGTCATTTACAATCAACTAAATTTTTAAAGTTACTATTTATTGACAAGCGTATAAGTTCACTAGAAATAAATTTTCATCTTTATGAAATATTGCAGGTGTCTCTCCAAATGATTTACAGAGTAAGATGTCTCTCACACAAACTATATCTGCAGATGATTGTCAACTAAAACTAGGCTAAAGGGTCTAACATCTGTTACCCCACACTTTTTATAATTCTTTCTTAATACTTCCAATTCACCTTCTTATTACATATATTTTATGTATTTATTAAGCTATTGTTCATTATGTGTAATATATAATTAATGCCCTTAATAAGTGTATGTTTACACAAGTTATGTTTTCCTGTGAAATCTAGTCCCAGAAGTGGAGTTGTTGAGTTAAAGAGATGTCAGGTTATTTGAAATTTTGATACACAGCACTAAGTTACCCTTCAGAAATAATTTACCAATTTCATATACCAACAGTGTATGAGAATGCCTTTTTCCTCACATTTGCCAATGGTAGTAATTACTTTTTCAATACCAGCATGACTTTACAAAATATATCTTATTTTATGTTAATTTGCACTTTTCTGATTACCAGGCAGGGCTAAATATCTCTGGTAAAAATATAAAACTTGTTAATCATAAGGAATATTAGTCCAATTTTGAATTAGTTTATAGCACAATGACAATTGTCTGCTGCGAAATACTGCTATAGGTGGCCAGGCACGGTGGCTCACTCCTGTAAACCCAGCACTTTGGGAGGCCGAGATGGGCAGAACGCCTGAGGTCAGGAGTTCGAGACCAGCCTGGATAACATGGTGAAACCTCATTTCTACTAAAAATACAAAAAATTAGCTGGGCATGGTGGTACACGCCTGTAATCTCAGCTGCTAGGGAGGCTGAGTCAGGAGAATCACTTGAATGCAGTAGGCATAGGTTGCAGTGAGGTGAGAACACACCATTGCACTCCAGCTTGGGCAAGAAGAGAGAAACTCCACCTCAAAAAATAAATAAATAAATAAATAAACACTGCTATAGGCTTACTTACCTATGATGCTCTTCCTTCAGCTTCTTGGTAAAAGGCTGAGGATAGGTTTTCCCAATATTTCTTTGTTGGGTTAATCTGTCAGCAGCAGCAGCAGATGTACTATGACATACATTTTCTGATAGTTGTATTTTTTCACTTTTGTTTGTATTATTTCCTTCTTTGACCTTTAACAAAAGTAATATGAATAATAATTATTATTTTATTCAATAAAAAGAAGTTTTTCCCTGATTTTTTCACTTGATTCAGGTTAACTATCACCGTTTTAATGATAAAAATATTTTGTGCTTACTTTAATTTTATCATTATACATAATTATTATAATTATAAGATACTCATCATTTTATCATTGAAATTTTTGTCAAGTCTGCTCATTTCTGTTTGAGTGAATAGAAGAATTTTCCAAAATTTCAAAAAGGACTCTTCTCCATTTTGTGCTTTTATTCCCATCCACTCTTTGCTATCTGATATAAATATTTATGTTATCTGACTGGCAGAAACAGAGAAATAAAAAGACACAGGCATAACATATATCTTCTGTCATTGCCACCTGGATTTTACATGAAATAGCCAGATTAAGAGGATGTGACCTTGTAGGGCTTCAGGAACAGTAAAGAAGTTTTCCCTTTTCTACACTGAGCTATTCTTTTCCCCATTGCCTTTTATCTCTTTTTTTTTTTAATTCTGGGATATCAAAAAAGTGAAAGTTCTCCCTGAACTATGGGAACCAAAGTTTGCCACAACACAAGAAGCAGAGTGAAACTGCTGAGTTTCCAGTGCAGAATTCTGGAAAACGACATGCTTCCCAGATTTCACATTCAATTATCAGAAAAGTTATAGGTGGAAAACATACGGTACAGTTATCTACTTTAGCCCCATTATCTACTGAAAATGGGAGTCAAACTAACAAAGACATATGAAATGTTTCATCGAGAGCTCTTGAGGTGGCATTCTCTAGCATTTCATGGCACCAAATAACATGATACAATTCCATATTGCTGAATTACATAAATTACCAAATAAATTTATCAAATTAGTCAGATATATTAAAAGTCTAAGTTGAGCAAAGCAATTTAACGCCTCAGAGGGTGGAAAAAGGCCTCATCTGCTTTTACTTTGAAGAAGAAAATCTCTAGATTTTGTCTATCTTTAGGACACAATGTACAGAACTCAACTTTCTACTAAAGAATCAAAGGATAAATTTTTATCTAAGAAATTATGCTTCTTACATGATAAAAATCACACATGCCAAAACTTATGATACTTTATTAAACAACATAATGTAAGGACTGATTCAACAGAAATATTGGAGTGGTGATTTTTTAAAATATGTGGAAGTATATATTTGTTTTCAAAATATTGGAAATAACCATGATGGAACTATAAGTTCAAACAGTTTGAGCTAAGCAGATGAACTTGCATGCATGAAAATACATTAAACAGACTCATTTGGCTGGGAATATTCATTGCAACTCTCAAGGCTAGACGTGTTTTTGTGGCTCGTCTCAGTCATTGCTTCCCTCCCATTGTATTCCCATTCTATCATTAAATAAATGTAATTCATCTCTAAATGAATACAGAAAAAAGAATCTAGAATCTAAAGCTTATTTCTTTAGCAATTTCTTTATGTTGATCTCATTCAGAAGGTCACGTGGTATATGGCTGAATTAGTTTCCCAGCTCATATGCCACTTGGAAGACTGAGAGTGAGACTTAGGTTGATTAATGAAGAAACATTATGAGAACATTCTCCAGAACCATTGTTTAGATAGCAGGACTAATCTACTTTGACACATAATTACACATTTAGAAAACCCCGCTGTAACTGTACACATGAGATTTTCTTGAATAGAAAATTTGACTAAATCAAATAATTGATAAAGAGAAAAAAGAAGCAGCAAGTGAACCTCTGTCTTTTTGAAGTTGGACTTTCTGTTTCTCCAAAGCCAGGAGCTCTACTTGTAACATGCCTACCTCATTCTTTTTACTATTATTATACTTTAAGTTCTGGTACATGTGCACAATGTGCAGGTTTGTTACATATGTATATATGTGATATCTTGGTGACCTTGAAATATCTTGCTGTAAGTCTTCTAGCTATATTTTTGATGTTCTCTCACTATGTGGCAAAGAATAACCCGCATTTTATAGTTCAAGATTCATGGTTTTGTAGTTATTAACACTGGGATTTTCATACAGCGGCTTCTGGAATAAGCACTGTGTTGGTTTTCTGTTTTTATAAGTATCTGTAGCAGCAGAAATACTGTGACTTTCTATCTGAATCATATGCTTCATTTCTTTGGGGTGGGTAAACCACAAATCAAAAAGGCTTTCTGGATCTCTAGACTGAGACCAATGCCTAATTTCCAATTAGTGGTATTTGGGTTTATATATTTTTCCATTTGCATGTCAAACTCTTAATCATCTTTCATTTCAATCATAATTACTGGGTTCCTTACTTTTTCAGTTTCTATATCATAACAAAAATTTCCATCATCTGTGTTAGAAACAAGCTGTGTGTCTGGTTTGTTATCATTTTTATAGTCTGATTTATTTTAAATTAAATGAAGCTTAGAAGATGACTGGTAAGTGTATTTCAGGGACCTGGAGTGTGAATGGAATAAAAAGACATTTGACATGGGCTTCCTCTGTTCAGGCGCTGCCTGGACTGCCACAGAGCTAGACCCTCCAGATACATTTTTCTCCTCACAATCAGGGACATGATTCATCAGACTAGAGGGCACTCCTTTTTTGTTCATCCCTCTTTAGAGTTACCATGTAGGAGCTCTTCCTCAGGGCAAGTAGTAATTTTGGAGTTTTCAGAACTTTTACCAATATTCAGCTTGAACTTGTTTGTAATGAATTTTAAAGAAAGTCATGAATATATAGATTGATTCCCTTTATCACTGTTCTTACCCAGTTCTGGTTCTTGAGACTTTTTTTGGTGGGGGGCAGGTGCAAAATGGAAAACAAATTTGCTTGTTTTGTTTCTCAGATGTCTTTTCTGTCAGAGTGCATGTTTTAAAATTAGCTTTAATCAAGTATAAACAAAGAAATATTAGAAAATAATTAAAATTTAACTGTGAAACTTAATCTATGTGTTGCTACTCTTAAATTATGGGATTGTAACTAAAAAGTGAAAAATAATTTGCTTTGGCTTAACATAGGACAGAAACATGAACCAGCAAGCTGAACTCTCACTGTCTGTTTGGACTAAACTTAATGCATTTGTGTAAAATCTACCAGAAATGAATTCAAAGATGATAGGTAGTATTATAAAAGCTTCCTCTCTTACAAAGACTTTACCTCAGCATACCAGAAAGAGTGAGCCCCTACAGTGCATGTTTATTTCTGAAGATTAACTAGAGCACTAGGCAAACACTAAATTATTAAGAGCTAAACTGAACACCAATAAGAAAGAGAAGTAAAATTTTAAATTCTAATTCAAATGATATACTATGATAGTGTTATGTATCTAGATAGAATTTCTGCTTATATCCACTTCTAATATATTTTAAGTTCCAGTAGTGATAGGGTTTGGATTTTTTAAATTTCAGTAATGTTTACTATGTATTTATGTTGAAATAAAGTTATTGTTCACACCCTGACACCAAAGGTCCCATTCTGCAAGGTAGGATTCTCTTAATAGGCAACTGCATTGACTTTTATGACCCCATTCACTCCCTGAACACAGACACAGAAGTCAACTGGTGACCACAAAACAGAATAAATCTTTAACCTCGGCACTGGTGACCAGCAATATAAAACTGCAACATTTGAAGCACTGGCAATGATGACTCCTTTAACACTAGTTTAACTCAGTGGCCATTGTTGTTAAACTGTTCATAATTTCTATTCCTCAGTAATATGACCCAATACTTCATGTTACCTTGTGTATTATGAGTAAGGTTATATAAATAAAACAGCAAGGTAATTCTGAAAATTTCTTGCCTCAATTCTAAGGGTAAATACAGCTATGAATTACTAGAGATACTAAGAATTACTAGAATAACTAATAGTTACTAGAGATAGTAAGAATATCTTAAGTTTCATAACTGGTTAAGATGTTTTAAAAATTAAATATAAAATTATGATCTATTGGATTCTAAAGGTATAGTCTGAAAGGTCATGTCATTTGGACTATGCTTTGTTAGTAAAGCAAAAAAAAACCCTAATATTAAACAAGAACTTAAATTTTCATATACCTGTGATTGCTTCTTTTCACTTCTTTCACACCTTTCTTGCTCTTCCTCTAAAGCCACTGGTAAGGTTTGTTCTGTTGACAAAGTCATTGATTTAGTTCAAATGAACTAAGAAGAGTTAGATAAGGACTATAATCTTTATAAAAATAAATAGAGAATAACATTTCTTTGTATTTTATATTTTGAGAGTTTGAATGAAACAATGTTTACTGAAATATTTACTTCTGTAAGAAATACTTCTAATTATCCAAAACTTCAACAAACCACTTGGGGAGACACCAGATATCACCAGATTCAAGCCATGTAAAATCTCAGGGTCACTCACAAATTGTTCCACCCAACATAAGTCAACAAAACTGTTGGAAACAAAACAGAAATTTGAAATACAGTCAAAATATACAACGTAATGCTTTATTATACTTCATAACAGTATCTTTTTAACAAGACACTAATTGAGTTGGCAGTTACTAATAATTTGCAAAATTATTGTTGTTTATACCTCAATTAGTGTGCACCCCATTTTTTACATCACAAATGTTTTCCCCTGCTATTCTGAAAAATTTATTTTCATCTTTTAAGACTCAGAAAGTAGGCTGGGCATAATAGCTCACATCTGTAATCCCAGCACTTTGGAAGGCCAAAATGGGAGAATCGCTCAAGGCGAAGAGTTTAAGACCAGCCTGGGAACCATAGGTAACCTTGACTCTACAAAAAATTAGACAGGTATGGTGATATGTTCCTGTTGTCCCCGCTACTCAAGAAGCTTAGATGAGAAGATCCCTCGAGCCCAGGAGTCTGAGGTTTCAGTGAGTCTCAATCATGCCATTGCACTCCAATCCTGGGTGATAGAGTAAGAACTTGTCTCCAAAAAGAGGAAAAAAAAAAGGCTCAGAATGCTATGTGAAATCTTCCTTGATTCTAGGTATCTTTCTCCACACACAGAGGTGTCTGCTTCGTTGGGGTCCCTTAGTACCTTGTCAATTTTTCTAGTGTCACTTTACCACCTGACCTGCACATCATGTCTTTACATGTTGACCCCTTTGCTGCTAGACTGTAGAGGATAATCTTTTGAATCATCTTTGTATAAGCAGTCTTAATTTTGCTAAATAATTACTTATTGAGTTCCTGCTAAGTGTTAGGCACTGGGGAATAAGGAAGGAAAATAGAAGCTGTCAGGGATGGCTTTCCTAAAGATCATCCATGAGCTGAGACTTAGAGAGTGAGGTTAGCCAGATTAAGCGAGGCAGAGGGCAGGAAAGGGTGAGCACATGCCAGGCAGCAACAAGAGAGGAAGAGAAGCCTCCAAGAGCGTATGTATTTCTCTGCAGAAGAGGAATGGTGAGGGGGCCATTACCAGCAACTCAGTAATTCCAGAGAAAAAGGCAGATGGGGAAAGGGATACAGATGGAGATTTGGGCAGAAATCAGTTTCCTTTTCTTTTCTTTTTTGGGACAAGGTTATACTCTGTCTCCCAGACTGGAGGGCAGTGGCATGATCTCAGCTCACTGCAACCCGGCCTCCCAGGTTCAAGTAATTCTCCTACCTCAGCCTCCTGAGTAGCTGAGATTACAGGCGCGTGCCACTACCACCTGCTAATTTTTGTATTTTATTAGAGATGGGGTTTCACCTTGTTGGCCAGGCTGGTCTTGAACTCCTGATCTCAAATGATCCACTTGCCTCAGCCTCCCAAAGTGCTGGGATCACAGACATGAGCCACCGTGCCCAACCCAGAAGTCAGTTTCTGAAATCCTTATATAAACCTTTAAGATGCTTAGACATTAGGTATTCAGGAGTGATTCACGGATCTATTTGCATTAGGGATAATTCACTCTAAATACTGTGAGGAGCATAAAATTCTGAGGCATATAAATCAATGAACAAAGATAAAATATAAGGCAATGTTGCAAAGATGATGCAGGCCTGAGGAGATGTTTTCAGAAATATTTAGGATATAGGTATCAGTGGCCATTATAAGAATGAATTTCTATTGAATAAATAAATGTATATATCTCGGTCCCTGGAGAAATACACTCTGCTCATTACTTTACAAATTTTATCAATCAAATGAGAAGTAAAGTAATATACATAAACTCTTTCAGTTACTTGTATTTACTTTACCCTTTTTCTGTTTCAGTTTTACTGTGCCAAGGAAATGCATTTGGGTTTTGTGGTGGTTGTTGTGGTTGTGGTTGTGGTTGTGGTTGTTTTTGTTTTTTGAGATGGAATTTCACTCTTCCTGCCCAGTCTGAAGTGCAGTGGTGTGACCTCAGCTCATGGCAACCTCTGCCTCCTGGGTTCAAGCGATTCTCCTGCCTCAGCCTCCCAAGTAGCTGGAATTACAGGCATGTGCCACCATGAACAGCTAATTTTGTGTTTTTAGTAGAGATGGGTTTCTCCATGTTGGTCAGGCTGGTCTCAAACTCCCAACCTCAAGTTATCTGTCCGCCTCAGCCTCCCAAAGTGCTGGGATTACAGGCACTAGCCACCGCACCCAGCAACATATGGGGATTTTGTTTTAAAAGTTCTGTTCCCTGGATCTACCAAGCTCATGAGAAAATAGAGCAAACAAGTCATTTGCATAGGTAAGAAACTTTGGATTTATAGCTTGTCCTCACTACTCTAGAAGATTATCATCATGTTTTGCAAAGCAAAATGTTAAACACAGACATAAGGGGAAAAAGAAATTAAAACTATAGGGGTGGGTGAAAAAATATTGCATAATTTATTACTGTTGACCTCATCATATGACTGATTAAGGGCACTGAATTTAACTTGGATGTGAAGTAGACCTCATATTAGCTGCAGTTAATCAGTAGACCAGGCGTCCTAGCAGAATTAAATTTGATGCTCCTGTGTTATCTTTAAATGACACAGCTTTTCTGAAAACCCTTACTCATAGTGCGTGATTATCCATTAAGAAAAGGTGATGGAATATGTGAATACAGCTGAGGAGACACCACAAGGCAAATGCTCAGTGGTTCCCATTAATATTGGGAAAATCAACACTATAAAACAAAAAGCCATAGACATTATTTAATATTTGGTTTTGGGAGGTATTTTTAGTGACACTGCATACAGTTGTACCTAATAATTGCTAAATTAGAGACGTAAAAGTAAAACAAAGGCACATTGTGTTTGAGTAGGAAATCTATAGACATCTAGCTGGTTTTCCCATCCAGCCACAAAATTCTAAATATAATCATGGTACCTGTACTCAAATTTATGTTAAATACCAACCTCAATGAAATCACTCTTTCTTCTCATTCCCTTTCTTATTTATATGTTGCTTTCCTTAAGGGAAGAATACAAATGCCTTGCTAAGAACCATTCTGTTTGGTTGTAGGCTGCATAAGGGGAGTGAACACAAAGTATATTTGACCACAAAATGACTCTTTAAAAGTCAGAACTATGGTAGCATGAAGCCAAACGAGGTAATCTAGAATAAAATTTTCTATGCTTCTTTCCCTTCTTTGCTCTCTTTCTACTCTAATAACTGCGATTCACACAGGTAATGAAGAGTGTAATTCCTTGATAGAAACACAGCTCCAAGATTAATCCTTTCTTTAACTATGAAGTTCGCATGTCCAAAATCTATGGTAGTTGCTGTCTGATTTTTGATCACTGATGGTGATACAGATATTTATCATCAACTCACAACTTCCCAAATCTTTGAAAAGTCTTACTATTGATGGTTCAACTAGTAGAAACATGATGTAAAATATCTGAAAATAAAGTTTTTATTTATTAGAATGTAAATAATAATACAAATTGTAATAAGGTGTAAAAGTTCTTTCTTCACTGAAGCAGTACCATGTTGTCCTCTACCCCACAAATGCACTACTCCCCCGTGGTCCAATGTATTTTAAAAGTCTTGTAATTGCTATTAACTCAGACAAGTTTACTTAACTTGTTCTAAGCTTCTGGTATTTACTACAGTTTACTTTCAATCACTCAACCATCTCTGTTATATATGTTGTTTTCCATGAGAAATTTGTTTATTAGTAATTAAGATTCTTCAGGGATAGGAAAATATTTGAATAACTAAGTTTGTGCATAAACACATTAAGGTCAAATACCCATGATACTATTGTGTGTTTCTGTGTACTAGAGAAAAAAACTTCAAAAAAAATTTTAATGAATATACTTTAAATTAAAAACTGCTTTCATTAAACTGAGATAATCTTCCCTCAATGCATGAATACCTCCAGAATTCACATAGACCAAAGAATTGTATAAAATATAATAGCCTTAAAAATCTTATTTGTAGTTGGCACAGTGGCTCCCACCTGTAATCCCAGCACATTGGCAAGCCGAGGTGGGCAGATCACCTGAGGTCAGGAGTTCAAGAGCAGCCTGGCCAACCTGGTGAAACCCCATCTCTACTAGAAATAGAAAAATTAGCAGGGTATGGTAGCACGTGCATGTAGTATCAGCTACTCGAGGGGCTGAGGCAGGAGAATTGCTTGAACCTGAGAGGCAGAGGTGGTAATGAGCCAAGACTGAGCCACTGCACTCCAGCCTTGGTGACAGAACAAGACTCTGTCTCAAAAACACAAACAAACAAACAAAAAACCTAATTGTTCCCATATAAGTCTATGTTCATACAAGATCTGAAGAGTACACAACACCGTGAGACAGGACAGACATATATTTTAAAAGTTATATTCCTGATTTCTGTAAAAATAAAATAGTTGAATTTAAGCTTTCAAGACAAGTCAACGAAAAGAGCAAAAAATGCAAAAGTGAAACTCGAAAGGTCATTTCCCCATCAAGGGCTCATGATCACTGGACATTCACAAACTATACTGTTCAAAACATTAGATCTGAATTTTGATCCGAGTATCCCTTTAGTAGCAGTTTCATTCAAGGATGTCCAAGAGGTAAAATAAGACAATATCATTTGCTATTTTCAGTTTTCTTTTCTGAGAACAGCCCAGCATTCTTCTTCAGAGAAATGAATTGTCCTAACTTCATAGGCTAAAGGCTCATGAGTCATAGTTCTAAGGGCATTAATAAAATATGGTGGTGCATGCTTGTATTCTGAACTTTTCAGGTTTAAACTCTCATATAGTAAATGCTAATAGATACAAACTGATTAAAGAAAAGCCCTCTTAAACTGACATTATTTTTCTTTTTATTTCTTCATTTATCAGCAACAGGAGAGTCTAACTAAATGTGGTAAAGTGGTATGAGGGAATACAATGAACAGTGTAAAATGAATTAAACCAGAGATAATCACACCAATGTGGGTACAAGTGGAAAATATAATACAAAACACACCAAAGAAAGTGGCAGAAAGGTATATAAAGTATATAACCACTCACATACTATTTTAGGACACAAAAAATTCTGCATATTATTTCTGGGCATCACAATGTAGTTAAAGATTTCAAAAGGGCATTGAAATGAAAAACAACCAACTTATGATGTTGGTAGCCTCTATGCAATCATGTTTTAAAAACTTTAACACTAAAAAGGCTCAAAATCACCATTTTAAAAGACTGTGTCTACCAGTCATAAATGAATCATTACTTTCGTCATTTGTAATAGTGAAAGATGCCACAAGCGCACGCATACACACATCTATATATACACCTACACACACAGTCTTGCTCATTAGAACATCTGATAAGCTTCAGATCATCAGTGTAATAACACTAGCAGCAAGCCTCTGAAGTTAAAACAGAAACTGACACTTTAATAGGTAAAGCTTTCCTCTAGGTAAAGATCAGAACTCCAACTAGCACTTAACTCACTGGAAATATCTTAAGAGTCTCAAAATTCACTGCTTTGAATCCCTGACAAGTATAAAAATTTTATACTGAAAACTTCATGCTATTCAAAACATTAAAACAGAAACATCTGACTTAAAGCTTACATTTTTAAAATCTTTTTTATGCTTCTAAATTTGTTTTTATTCAAATATGGATACCAACAATAACATTTATGTCAATGCCTTCTGTTCAATATTGAACAAATAGAATTAGGAATAAGAATAATATGAGTACATCCAATCATTGAATGTACTTTATTTCCAGTATTACATCAAATGTACCTGCTCTCAATGTCTGTACTTTCTTTCTTTGTACTGCTCCTTTCACAGCAGGATCTTCCACTTCAGTGCTAGGCTGAATGGGTTTTAAAAGAAAACGATTCATAAATCATATATATTTTATACAACATGGAGTTAGTGATTCAAAAATATACATAATTAATTATCTTCAAGGAAGGATGTTTTGCAGGAGGCCCTACAAAGCAAAGGGGATATGTCATCAATTATATGTAAGTATGACAGGACCAACCAAACATTCATGCAGTGTTACTGTCGAGCTGAATTCTCAGGCCTGGCTATAAAAATATTTACTTAAGGTTTTGAGGGTTCTTCTTGGCTTCGTCTTTTCATTGCCTAGGACAGCAACATGACAGAAACACAATGAGGAAAATAGGAATATAGGATTCCCAAAATGCACAGTTTACATTTCAGTAGTGAGATTATGTTTCAAATGCCTATACTTAAAATAGAAAAGCATTGATATAACCGTGAACACGTGGACTAATGAGGAGAAAAGGGACCATTAAACAGAGGGGCAAATCAAACCTGAGAGAATCAATGTCAAAGCTGATGGTGAATGTACAGAGTATTTTAACTCCACACACCAGAGGCATTGCTGCCAGCACAGCACAAATAAATTCCCCTTGTCTTGTCACTGAGGAAATACTCAGTTGGGATGACAGTTCAGGTGAATGTGGGATTCACCTCTCATCAAAGAAAGGGTTCTACATTGATCAGCTAGGATACACACTTATGAAATAACAGCTAATCAAAGTACTCATTTTTCCCATGATCACATGGGCTACTGCAGCACCTACATTTCTCCTATCCCCTCATTTGGCCTTGAATTAGAGCTCCTTGATCCACTCATGCAAGGTGGTCCATAAAACACATCAAATAAACCATGTCGAATAAGCTTCTGATATCAAAATATTTATCAAAAAAGAAAACATTGAATGACCACAGACTTGCTGGATATTAATACATATTTATATTTCAAAATCAGTGCAGTATTTATTAAAAATGATAATTTTGGTTTTCATGGAATGAATTTTATGATTACTTCTAAAATTAACTAAGTTTGGTATATTATCTTACACTGTAAAGGACTTTTATAAAACAGCTATCATATCAAAGAACTGGCTGTCTCAAAAAAATTTCGCCAAAGCATCTATATGCAACTTAATCATATCTTATTCACTCATGTCAGTGAAACTTCTCTCCCTGAGGCCTGACAGTTATCAAGTGAAATGAGCTGCTGTGGTTTACCCCAACTCTAGCACTCCCTCCTGTCTCCAGTACTCTCCACAGCAATAACCTCTTTTGTGAGACTGGGCATATGCTGAAGCAACTGGAAGTGAGTTGTCTCAAGTTTACTTGGCTTTAACTCCCAAGACCCCAGCAAATGTCTTTCTTTCCTCCTTTTGTGTCCATTCACCATCCCTCTTCCTTTGAAAAAATGATTATCAGAACTGTCATCCTGATGCTTCCCTTCCTAACTGCTTTATATGGATGATTGTGACCACTTTTTTCATCTGTATTCAGCAGTAGTATACACCTGTAATCTCTCTTTTTTCATCTCATTTTCCTTCCCTTGTGGCTAGAATCATGCTCAGAAATAAAAGGAAATTAAAGCTTTCCCTGGATTCTGTTATTTTTTAAATTGCTCTCCAGTGGTTCTTTTTCCAGATTTCTCTAAAGGAAGGCTATTCCCTTGCTATTCAGAGCTGTGTCCAAGGACCAGCACAAACATCACCTGAGTGCTCATGAGAAATGCAGACTCCAATACCTGCTGAGTCAGAATGTGCACTTTCCAGAAGCTCCTCAACGAATTCATGACAATTTGAATGCCCTGTTCTACACTGGTGTGCTTCCATATTGGTTTACCCTAATTGGCCTTTTTGGCCTAGCCTCAACTTCTTTCCTATTATGTCCCTGAATTTAATACTACGTTATAAGCCATAATGTTTCTAATGAACTTTTAATCAGGCAAAGCTTCTCTAATTAATTTCTTCCCAATAAATCACCCAACACTATTCTTTTCATTTTCTATAAAAACAAATTATAGCCATACATGGCTGACCATTTACGGTGATGTTCATCTATGGTAGATAAAACACAGGTCTGCATGGTAAAGTACCTCAATCCTTAATGCCTCCCCAGTAGCAAGAATGACAGCAAGAGAAGGAAAATGTTACTGTAATTATATGACACATTTTGGTACTGGAAGCTCACTTTATCTTCCTTCCTATTTCTAACACCCTGTTCTTCCTTCTTCTACAGATCAATTTGACTTTACTACCCTCCATTACATACATCCACTTTTTTTTATTTATTCCATGTACACTCTGCCCTCCTCATTCTTTCTTTCTCTTTTATTCATTTCTTCTTCCCTCTCTCCTGACTTGCCTCAGGTCTTAGAGTATGTTAAAATGGAACTCATAACTCAGCTCCTTTAGTGGTACTTCCAATAGAATCAACTGCTGACCCTTGGTTAGAGACACCACTTATCACCTTTTCATTTCTCTTTTACTTATGATACAGTTAATAGGACATTTTCTTTAGCTATTAAACTCTATTAGTGCTCATATTTTAAAAGAAACATTCCATCAATGACTTTTTTTTTTTTTGAGATGGAGTCTCACTCTGTCACCCAGGCTGGAGTGCAGTGGCACGATCTCCGCTCACTGCAAGCTCCACCTCCCAGGTTCACACCATCCTCCTGCCTCAGCCTCCCGAGTTGCTGGGACTACAGGCACCCGCCACCATGCCCGGCTATTTTTTTGTGTTTTTAGTAGAGATGGGGTTTCACTATGTTAGCCAGGATGGTCTTGATCTCCTGACCTCATTACCCGCCAACGTCCGGCTCCCAAAGTGCTGGAATTACAGGCGTGAGCCACCGCGTCTGGTCTCCATCAAATGACTTTTTAAATAAAATACGGTTCTCACCTTCTCCTTTTCCATTGACTATTCTGTTTCCGTTTTCATGAGAAGGTCCACGTAAAGGCTCTGACACTTTCTGGGGGACACACTGCTAAGGTAATATCAAGAATTAGTTTCCATTTAAAATTATAATGAGTTGCATCAAGAGTTTCTTATCAATCTCTTTTTATGAAACTGGGTCTCACTCTGTCAACCCAGGGCTAGAATGCAGGGGCCTGATTATGGCTCACTGTGGTCTCAAACTCCTGACCTCAAGCAATCTTCCCACCTCAACTTCCTGAATAGCTGGAACTACAGGTGCATACCATCATGTCATGCTAATGTTTTTATTGTTATCTTTGTAGAGACAAGGCCTCATTATACCTCCCAGGCTGGTCTCAAGCTCCTGGGCTCAAGCAAATCTTCCACTTCTGCTTCCCAAAATGTTGAGATAAGCATTGTGCACCACCACACCCAGCCCTAATCAATTTCTTTAAATCAATCTCAATGTTGCCCAGGCATGGTGGCTCACACCTGTAATCTCAGCCCTTTGCAAGGCCAAGGTGGGTGGATTGCTTGAGTTCAGGAGTTGGAGACCAGCCTGGGCAACATAATGAGGACACATCTCTACACAAAAAATACCAAAAGGAGTCAGGCATGATGGTGTGTGCCTGTAGTCCCAGCTGCTTGGGAAGCTGATGTGGGAGGATCACTTGAGCCTGAGAGGTGGATACAGCAGTGAGCCAAGATCATGCCACTACACTGCAGCATGGACAACAGAGCTAGACCCTGCCTCCCCAAAAATTTCAATTTAAAATGTGAGAACAAAGAGAGATACAAACAAAAAACAAGCCTAATTAGTCAATGAAATATGAGCTTAAGCCAAGAAAGAAAACGAAAAACATGAAGTACAATAAAGTACATGGGGAAATAGATCTATAACAGAGCCTTCGGTCTTTCATAACTCTGATAATACTAATTAGTATTTATGCTGCAATTAGTTTTTTGTAAGTACTTCTGTGATAGTGTTTCTTACTATAAGACATTCAATTAGCTAAATATGGTCATCTACCATTACCTGAAAGAACATTATTATAACAGAGAGAGAAAACTGGAACTTTCCATCAACTTTCCACCCAGAAAAAGAATTGGTCACCAGAATTCTAAAGAGTAATGTATGGCAGACACATGAAAAAATGCTCATCATCACTGGCCATCAGAGAAATGCAAATTGAAACCACTATGAGATATCATTTCACACCAGTTAGAATGGCAATCATTAAAAAGTCAGGAAACAACAGGTGCTGGAGAGGATGTGGAGAAATAGGAACACTTTTACACTGTTGGTGGGACTGTAAACTAGTTCAACCATTGTGGAAGACAGTGTGGAGATTCCTCAAGGATCAAGAATTAGAAATACCATTTGATCCAGCCATCCCATTACTGGATATATATGCAAAGGATTATAAATCATGCTGCTATAAAGACACATGCACATGTATGTTTATTGTGGCACTATTCACAATAGCAAAGACTTGGAACCAACCCATATGCCCATCAATGATAGACTGGATTAAGAAAATGTGGCACTTACACACCATGGAATACTATGCAGCATAAAAAATGATGAGTTCATGTCCTTTGTAGGGACATGGATGAAGCTGGAAACCATCATTCTGAGCAAACTGTTGCAAGGACAGAAAACCAAACACCACATGTTCTCACTCATAGGTGGGAACTGAACAATGAGAACACTTGGACACAGGATGGGGAACATCACACACCAGGGCCTGTCATGGGGTGGGGGGAGAGGGGAGGAATAGCATTAGGAGATATGCCTAATATAAATGACGAGTTAATGGGTGCAGCACACCAACATGGCACATGTATACATATTTAACAAACCTGCACGTTGTGCACATGTACCCTAGAACTTAAAGTATAATAATAATAATAAAGAGTAATGTATGGCTTGAAACGGTATATTTAATGGAACATGAGTTGGGTCTAATAAAAACCTTAAGAAATGTTAATCTAAAATCTCAATGTTAAGATTCCAGTTGAATGATACTAGAAAATATATTGTAACCCTCTTTGCTACCGATGACCTATTTCTCTTTTATTTCCTTTTTAATTATTGCATAATTTCTCAACATAACATGTCAAAACTTATACACCCTTAAATATTAAAAAATAATACAATGTAAGCAATGTTTTAAATACAATATTTAATGATTAGATACATTAGGTTTATTATATTACTTATAACATTCCATTATATAAAAATTCATTTGTTTATTTATTCAGATTAAACAACTATTAAGGCTGAATGTCTCATGTCTGTAACCCCAGCACTTTGAGAGGCTGAGGCGAGCAGAACACTTGAGCCCAACAGTTAAAGAAGAGCCTGGGTAACAAGGCAAAACCCTATCTCTACAAAACTCAGCCCAGCATGGTGACACAGGTCTATGGTGACATAGCTCTATTGTTTCAACTACTTGGATGGCTGAGGTGTGAGGATCACCTGAGCCTAGGAAATGGAGATTGGAGTGAGCCAAGATCTCACCAGTGCCCTCCAGCCTGGGTGACAGAGTGAAACCCCATCTCAAAAAACAACAAGTAAAATGCTTCTTACATGGAAGACTGTCTTCTAGGTACTCCAGGATACACACAAATATGTTTACTGACCTCTAGTAGCTTATGGTATGCAGGAGCTTCCAATGATGGGACAGTCCTATTTATTATCTCAGAAATATTCCTCTTTGCTGGATTCTTTTGAGCATTCTACCATTCTAGCCTAGCCCCTACTCCAGAATTAGGAGGGCATTGACCCCCAACAGGTATTTCTCCCCTTGACCCCCTGGAAGTACCTCTCCTGAATCCATCTGTATTACTTGCATCAGGAGTTTCAATTACTTGAGCCCATCACAGCCTAACAAAAAATAATCAAAAACATACAATCTAAGCACTACCTGTTACAATTATATTAGATATTTACTTCACCCTCCTACAAGTCTCAGAATACTTCAAAGCTCCCTTTGCTATTTCTGATGGTATTTATGGCTCAACATTTTTTATAGCTACAGGCTTTCACAGAATTCACGTCATTATTGGATCAACATTCCTCAGTCTGCCTTCTCCGCCAATTAAAATACCACTTTACATCTAGTCATCACTTTGCCTTTGAAGCCGCTGCCTGATATCGACACTTTGTAGATGTAGTATGACTATTCTTGTATGTTTCTACTTATTGATGAGGATCTTACTCTTTTAGTATAAATAGTACCATGATTTCCAAAGTTTTGATAGCATCCGAAAAACAGTAATTCACCTAACATTAACCCTAGTAATCAACACCCTATTAGCCCTGTTACTAATAATTATTACATTTTGGCTCCCACAACTTAATATATATATGTAGAGAGAGATAAAAATATATATATATGTATAAAATAAATATATATAGAAAAGTCTAGCCCTTATGAATGCAGATTTGACCCTCTATCCTCTGCCCACATTCCCTTCTCCATAAAATTCTTTCTAGTAGCCATCACATTTCCCCTATTTGAGTTAGAACTCGCCCTACTACTACCCTTACTGTGAGTCCTTCAAACAATCTGATACTAATAATCCCTGCGATATGTGTAGTGACTTCATACTTCACCCCCCCGGATATTACGGCCAATATCAGAGTGGAGTGTGCACCCCCTGCAATATGGGGAGTGATATCATCCTCTCCCCACTGGATGTTATGGACAAAATCGCAGGAGGTTTACTTTCTCTAGGTTATGGGGAAAAATATCCTCCTGTCCCCGCCTGGATGTTAGACATATTTAGAGGGGGTTGTCCACCCCCTGTGATATGGGGAGTAGTAATATCCTCTCCTGTCCTGGATGTTATGGACAATATATAGGGAGATGTACAATCCCTTCGATATGGGGAGTAATATCATCCTCTTCCCCCTAAACGTTACGAACAGTATCACAGGGGGGTGTACACCCCCTGCAATATCTGGAGTAGTATCATCCCCTTCTTCCCTAAATGTTACAGAGACTATCACAGGGGTGTGTACACCTTCTGAAACATGGGAATAATATTCTCTTCCTCTCTGGATGTTATTATGGACAACATTACAGCCGTGTGCACCCTCTATGATATGCAGAGTAATATCATCCTCTACCCCCCGGATGTAAGTGACAATACCACAAACGGGTTTACATCCCCCGTGATATGGGGAGTAATAACATCCTCTTCCCCACTGGATATTAACAATATCACTTGGGGATGTACAACCCCTGTGATATTCGGAATAATATCTTCTAATCCACTGAAAATTATAAACAATATCACCAGTGTACACTCCCTGTGATATTGGAAGTAATATCATCCTCTAATCCCCTAAAAATTATGAACAGTATCACAGGGTAGTGTATACTTCCTACTATATTGGGAGTAATATCATCCTGTCGTCTTCTAAATATTATGAACAATATTACAGGGGATGTAACACTCCCTGTGATATGTGGAGTAATATCATCCTCTCCTTCCCTAAATATTGTGAACAATATCACAGGACGTTGTACACAATCTGCGATATTGTTTGTAGTATCCAGTGGGAAAGAGGATGCTATTACTCCCCATATCACAGGGGGTGTACACCCCCACTGTGATATATTCAATAACATCCAGGAGTAATATTACTGACAAAATTGCAGGGGGTGTAAACCCCACCTGTGATACCATTCCTAATATCCCGGGGAAGACAGGATGATATTATTCCCAATATTGCAGGGGGTGTACACCCACCCTATGATATTGTTATTAATACCCAGGAGGGGAGACAATGGCATTACTCACAGTATCAAAGAGGTTGTACAGCCCCCCTGTGATAGTTTCTAATATCCAGGGGATGTATACCACCCTTGTGATATTGTTTCTAATATGTAGGGGGAAGGACAATGATATTACTGTCCGTATCACAGGGGGTGTACAACAAGCCCCCCGGGATATCATTCCTAATATCCATGGGAAGAAAGAATATTATAATATCACATAAGTTGTACATCCCCTCTGTGATATTGTTCCTAATATCAAAGACAGAAGGGTATGATGTTCTTCCCAAAATCACAGGAAGTGTATACACACCCTGTGCTATTTTTCCTAATATCGAGAGTGAGAGACAATGATACTTCCAATATCATAAGGAGTGTACACTCTCCCCGTGATACCAGGTGGGGAAATGTTGATATTACTCCAAATGTCACAGTGGGTGTACACACGTTTTGCGATATTGTTCCTAATATCAAGTGGGGAGGAGGATTGTATTACTCCCACCATATTACTCCCTACACCCCATTATACTGTTCTTAATATCCAGATTTGGAGAGGATGATATTACTCCCAAAATCTCAGGAGGTGTAGACCCCTTCTGTGATACTGTTTCTTATATCCAGGGGAAGAATAGATGATAGTACTCCCAACAGTGCAGGGTGTTACACGCCACCCCCCATGATATTGTCTCTAATATCAAGTTGGGGAGAGGGTGATATTGCTCCAAATAGTGTAAAGGGTGCACACCAGCACTGTGATATTATTCCTAGTATCCAGAGAAGGAGAGAATGGTATTATTTTTAATATCACAGAGGGTGGACACCCCCCTTGTGATACTGCTCCTAACATCCAAGGGGTAGAGGATGAAATTACTCCCAATATCACAGTGGGTATACACCCCTCCGTTGTATTGTTCCTAATATCCAGGGGGTATAGGATGATAGTACTATAAATATCACAAGGGGTGTACACCCCTTCTGATGTTGTTACTAATATCCGTGGGGGGAGTCGATGATATTACTTCCAATATCACAGGGCATGTACACCCCCCTTGTGATATTGTTCCTAATATCCTGGGAGGAGACTACAATATTACTGGCAATATCGCAGGGTGTGTGCATTCCCGTGATATTGTTCCTAATGTCCAGCAAGGGAGAAAATATTACTCCCAATATGGCGGGCGTGTACACTTCCCATGCGATATCGTTCCTAATATCCATGGGGGAAAAGGATGATATTACTCTAAATGGCGCAGGAAGTGTAAACCGCCCCTGTGATAATGTTCTCAATATCCATGGGGGGAGAGAATGATATTACTCCCAATATCACAGGTGGTGTACACCCCTCCTGTTATATTATTCCTAATATCCAAGTTGGATGAGAATAATATTACAGGTAAAATAGCAGGGGGTGTACACTCTGCCTGTGATATTGTTCCTAATATCCCAGGGAAGAGTGAACAATATTACTCTCAATATCACAGGATGTGTACACCCCCTTTGTGATATTGTTCCTAATATCCATAGGGGGAGGGGGTGATACCACTCCCAATAGTGCAGAAAAGGTACAGCCCCGCTGTGATATCATTCCTAATATCCAGAGGGGACAGGATGATATTACTCCCAATATCACAGAGGGCATACACCCCCTCCCCATGATATTGTTCATAATACCCAGGGGGTGGAGGATGATATTACTCCCAATATCGCAGTGGGTGTACACCCACCCTGTGATATTGTTCCTAATATCCATGTGGAAAGGGTATAAAGTTACTCCCAATATCACAGGGGTTGTACAACCCCCTTGTGATATTGTTCCTTATATTCGGGGGAGAGACAATGATATAGCTGTCCATATTGCAGGTGGTGTACCACCCCTGGGAATTTGTTCCTAATATTCAGTGGGGAAGATGATATTAATTAAAATGTCACGGGGGGTATAAAACCCCTTTGTGATATTATTCCTAATATCCAGGGATGAAAGAATATTATTCCCAATATCGCAGGGGATGTACACCCCTCTCTGATACTTTTTCTAATATCCCTTTGGGAAGTCTATAATATTACTGGCAATATCATAAGGAGTGTATACCCCCCGTTATATTTTTCCTTATGTCCAGCAAGGGAGAAAATATTAATCCCAATATGGAACAGGGTGTACACACCCATGAGGTATTGTTCCTAATATCCAGGGAGGGAAAGGATGATATTACTCCCAATGTTGCAGTGGTGTATAACCCCCCGTGATATTGTTCCTAATATCTAGGTGGGGAAAGTACAGTATTACTCCCAATATGGCAGGGGTTGTACACCACCTTTGTGATATTGTTCTACATATCCATGGGGAAAGAAAATGATAGTACTCCATAATATCACAGGTGGTGTACAACCCCTTGTGATACTGTTTCTAATATCCATGTTGGGGGAGGATATTACTCCCAATATTGCAGGTGTTGCACAGACCCCCTTTGATATTGCTTGTACTATGCAGGGTGTGGGGGGAGAGGATGATATTGGGAGTAATATCACCCTCTCTCCCCGGATATTAAAAGCAATATTCAGGGTGGTCGACACTTCCTGCAATATTGAGTATAATATCCTCTCCCAACCTGGATATTAGGAACAATATCACAGGGGCATGTACACTCCCTTCCTTTCACCATATAAAAAAATCAACTCAAGATGGATGAAGGACTTATGTAAGACCCAAAACTATATAAACCCTAGAAGAAAACTTAGGAAATATCATTCTGGACATAGACGCAGGCAAATATTTCATGATGAAGATTCCAAAAGCAATTGCAACAAGAAGAATTGATGAGTGGGACCTAATGAAACTAAAGAGCTTCAGCACAGCAAAAGAAACTATCAACAGAGAACACCCTACAGAACAGAAGAAAATATTTTCAAATTACATATCTGAAAAAGGTCTAATACTTAGCATGTATAAAGAATCAATAAGCAAAAAACAAACCCACTACAAATAGGCAAAGAACATGAGCCCCCACATTCACCATCCTCAAGTCCATGTGCAACTTCTTTCTGAATGCTGGACAAGGACTTGGATACCAAGAGGGCACTGAAAGGGTTAACACTTAAGCCGTCTGTGAATTCTTTTTTCAAAATACAACGTATGTATGGCAAACAACCGTATGAAAAAATACTCAACATCACTAATCATCAGAAAATCAGAACCATGAGATACCATATCACACCGGCCAGAATGGCTATTATTAAAAAATCAAAACATAACAGACGGTGCCGAGTTTGTGGAAAAAAGGGAATGCTTATACACTGCTGGTGGTGATATAGAAAGGAGACAGGGAAATACTGGGTAGAAGAGAGTGGTTCCCTGGCAAAGCCCTGCCCACAAGCCTGGAAACCCATGGCCCTAAATGGGAACAGGCATTCCTGCTTTTGCACCCAAAAGTTGTCTTTCAGCTCACCATGCACCCCCTGTCCTGTACCCATATATGCCCCAGACCCCAGGCTCCAGAAGCAGACAAGCAGATGAGGAGATGAACAGAAGAGCAGAATTGCAGAATGATGTGGCAGAAAGAAGAGAAGGAGCATCTGAATGCCAAGAGGAGTTTGGCTGGCAGTGGTTGTAGAGATCAGCCTCTGGATGGCAAGCAGATGAGGAGATGAACAGAAGAGCAGAATTGCAGAATGATGTGGCAGAAAGAAGAGAAGGAGCATCTGAATGCCTAGAGGAGTTTGGCTGGCAGTGGTTGGAGAGATCAGCCTCTGGATGGCAAAGCTCCGGGGGAAGATCATCTTCCCATTCCATCCCCTTTCCAGCTCCCCATCCATCCCATTGAGTGCCACCTCCACCACTCAATAAAACCCCCACATTCACCATCCTCAAGTCTGTGTGCAACTTAATTCTTTCTGGATGCTGGACAAGGAACTGGGTACCAAGAGGGCACTGAACAGGTTAACACTTAAGCCGTCTGTGGATGGCAAAGCTAAAAGAGTGCACTGTAACACATGCCCACTTGGGCTGTGGGAGTCGCAGGAACCCACCCCTAGACAGTACCATGGCCACTTGCCCTGCCTATTGCACCTGCCTGTCTGCATGCTCCCCTGCCCAGTAAGGGGTTTGACAGCACACACGGTGGCCAGACAAGCCACACCCCTGTTGCACATCCTGCCAAGGGGAGTCAGGGAAGTCTCCAGTTTCATCAGGAATGTAAATTTGTTCAGCCATTGTGGAAAGCAGTTTGGAGATTTCTGAAATAACTTAAAACAGAACTACCATTCAACCCAGCAATCCCATTATTGGGTATATACCCAAAGGAATATAAATCATTCTGTCATAGACATATGCACGCATATTTTCATTATAACACTATTCACAATAGCAAAGACACGGAATCAACTTAGATGCCTGTTAACAGAAGACTGGATTAAAAAAATGCAGCGTACATACACCATGGAATACTACACACCTATAAAATAGGATGAAATAATGTCTTTTGCAGCAACATGAATGGAGCTGGAGACCATTATTCTAAGTGAATTAATGAAGGAACAGAAAACCAAACAAACACTGCATGTTCTCACTTATAAGTGGGGGCTAAACATTGAGTCCACATGGACACAGAGAAGGGAACAATAGACACAAGGTCTACTGTGGGTGGAGGGTTGGTGGAGAGTGAGGATCAAAAAACTCCCTATTAGATATTACGTTCACTACCTGGATGACTACCTAATCTGTACACCAAATCCCATTGACACACATTTTACCCATATAATAAACCTGCACATGTACCCGCTGAACCTAAAATAAATGTTGGAAGGAAATAAAGTTACAACCAACTCTTGTACTATGAGGAAACAATCATATGTGTTGACAAAAAATCAGCTACTAATAGATTTATAATAGTATATATGTAGCAGAAAAATATCAGATATAACTTATATACCCAAAAGTATGACTTAAAAACAGCATGACAATCTTTATGATGGGATATTGTGAAACTACTAGAAGCACATTTTCAGAGATTATTTATTAACATATGATAATGACTACATTGAGTGGTTTTTAGAAGCATGAATTGAAACCATGTATAAGCATGACTTTATTGAACTTATATATAACATTACACACACATTTACATAATTATAAAATAAGTATGCTCATGTTCATAATATGTATTTATTTATATTCATATGTAAGGCCAATAGGAAGTAATCTCTGTATCTGAGTTATTATTTCATAAATAATTTATGCTTGTTCTGTGAAAATAAAAGCACTGCTATGGATCTTCCAAGTATCCTGAAAGGATACCGTTTATAATTAAACAATAACAATTTTAGAAATAATTATTTTAAATAAGGCTATGATAAATCTGGTTTCATTGCACACTTTAACTTTGGAACATTTCATGAAGCGTCCCTTGATCACGACTCTCATATTCCGGAGTTTTTTGAGATCAAAATGGGACAATCAGTATGAATCTATTTTTTAGACATGCAAATGGATAACTTTAAATAGCAGTAGCGATATAATCAGAGTGCACAGTTGCTCTGGGACAAAACTTGGAAATCAGCATATTTTTAGATTCTTAATGTTTTACACACTTTAGCATGCCACAGCACCATTACATACTCATTTTTCTACTAGAATACCTTGGTAAAAATTCACAGTAGAGATCAGGCTTGTCCTTCATACATTAACTAATCAAGCAGGAAAGTGCAAATGAGAACACAGTGCCAAATATAGGCACCACATGGAAACAAGCATGGAACTGCCAGGAAGCCATTTTTGTAGCTTTGTAGCCCAATTATATTTTTCCTAATGTATTGCACACAAAACTTGGGGGAAAAAAAAGAGGCAGAGAGAAAACAGGTTATATCAGCTCTATCTCACAATCCACAAGTTCATCCTATTAGAGGAGTAACTATGTAAAACAAATTTTATCTGTTGAATGTCCTATTTAGTTAATCGCAAAACTGTATGAGAACACACTTGTGACTTATTTAGCAGCTTGTTTGTTCGCTTTCCACTGGCTTCACAAATGTCCTTTGGAAATAGAATGTATATTTGGAACCCTGTACACCTTTTCTTTCTCCAGTAACCTGTTGTCACTTCCATCACTAAGGTGACAGAAGCAACTAGGGGCAATGCATTTGTAGCACACCTGGGTCAGAGGTATCCTCCAGGGGAAGGATCAGACCTGCTTGAAAGCATGTCGTTGGAATTGGGAGGCTTCTAGTAGCTATAACATAAGCACTGATGTTTACTGTTCCCTGCCCTCAACTTTGATCACTCTGGGAAAAGTTTTTTTTTTTTAAATCCATTGTATTGAAACATAATTTACATAAAATAAATACTATTTTAAAGTGCACAGTTTGCTGAGTTTTGCCAGATGTAACCATCCAGGTGAATAAAATTGATTAAACTGATCTTTCAAATAATAAATTAACTTTGCAATCTTGCTAGAAAATTAATTTGTTCACAGTTTATTATCCATTCTATGTACTGCTACATTCAATTGGTTATTATGTTTTAAGGACTTTTGAGTCTATGTTTATGAGGGATAAACATCAAAGTTGTATAATGCCTTTGTCTCGATTTGGAATCGGCAATACTGGGTTCATAAAATAAGATAGGAAATGTCCCTTTAAATTTTCTTTTTTTTTTTTTTTTTTTTTTGAGACGGAGATTCACTCTTGTTGCCCAGGCTGGAGTGCAATGGCACAATTTAGGCTCTCCACAATCTCTGCCTCCCAGATTCAAGCTATTCTCCTGCCTCTGTCTCCCAAGGAGCTGGGATTACAGGTAAGCGCCACCACACCCTGCTAATTATGTACTTTTAGTAGAGACGGGGGTTTCTCCTTGCTGGTCAGGTTGGTCTCAAACTCCTGACCCCAGGTGATCTGCCAGTCTTGGCCTCCCAAAGTGCTGGGATTACATGTGTGAGCCACTGTGCCTGGCCCTTAAATTCTATTTCTTAAAAAGAGTCCGTTCAAGATTGATATTATAGATATTCCTTAACTTACAATTGTCTTATGTCTTAATGAACTCATCCTAAATTGAAAATATTGTAAGTCTAAAACGCATTTAATATATTTAACCTACTGAATATCATGACTTAGCCTCGCCTACCTTAAACTTGCTCAGAACACTTACATTATCCTACAATTGGGCAAAATCATCTACCACAAGACCCATTTTAAAATATTCAGTATCTCATGAAATTTATTGAAAACTACACTGATAGTGAAAAACTGGTCATATTGATGCTCATCATTAATGTACACAGATGAAAGCACCATTATCAAGTCAGAAGAGCACAAGTCAAACCACTGTAAGTTGAGGACTCTCTGTACTTTCTTAAATGTTTGATAGAATTCACCTAAGAAAGCATGTAGCCTGTAAGTATAGAAATCTTTTTAAATTAAAAAAAATTCTTCAATACATAGAGAAGCTATTACTTTTTCTATTTCATTTTGCATCAGTTTTAAGAATTAGTTTTACAAATAATTTCCCATGTTATTTTAATTGTCAAATGTATTGGCCTAAAGTTTTCATAATTATATTGATGTCTGTAGGTTCTGTAGTTACATCTTCTATTTAATTCCCATTATCTACATTATGTAGCTTCTCTAAATTTTTTCGAGATAAATCTTGCTAGCCATTGTTTATTAAAAAAATTTTTTTCAAAGAACCAATTTGTGGGTATATTAATTAGCTCCACCTTTTGTTATTTGCTATGTTGTTGGTTTACATTTTTATCTTTATCATCTTCCTTCTTCTTAATTTGGATATACTTTGCTCATTTTTTAGCCTCTTAAAAAAGAACCTAAAGGTCATTGATTGAAGCCTTTTATTTTCAGTATATTACATCTATAAATGTACCTTTAAGAAAAGATTTATCTGCATCCCACATTTTATTAAGTTTTTAAAAAATTTTCTTTCAGTTTAAACTATTTTTTTTTTTGTGTGTGAAACTTTTCTTGGCCAATGGGTTTTTCTGAAGTATTTTGTTTAATGTTCAAATGTTGGGGTGTTATTGTACATATCCTACTGTTGTCCATCTCTGGTTCATGATACAATGCATGTTCTCCATTGCACTTAGATAACATGCCTCCATGTCTCTGGAGAATTCCTCAGTCTTTCTAAAATGCTTTTGATGAATACTGGCAGTTATTTTGTAGAATGTCCCTCCTCAATTTCAGTTAGTCTGATGTTTTCTCACGGTTAGGACTAAAGTTATACATTTTGTCTAAGAATACCATAGAATTGATGTTTTGTCCTACTCAGTGCATCATATAAGAAGTTACATGAAGTTCATTTATCTTATTATTAGTAACGTTAACTTTGATCACTTGGCTAAGTTGACATCTCCACTTTGAAGTTACTATTCTATAATTATGTTGTGGGAAGATACTTTCATATTATGCAAATATGTTCTTTCCCAACATATATTCACCACTAATCTTAGCATCCCTCCAAGGTTCTTTCTTGCAACAATTATTACTGTGATATTTGCAAAGTGATGATTCTTATATTTTATGTCTCCTACATTTAATGAAATTTTACTGTAATAAATACTACCCATTCTCAATCTTTGGTTTATTATTTATGTCAATATGGATTTTTTTTTAGTTGGAGTCTTGTTTTGTCATCCAGGCTGTTGTGCAATGGTGCGATTTCCGCTCACTGCACTTCCACCTTCCGGGATTCAAGCCATTCTCCTGCCTCAGCCTCCAGAGTAGCTGGGACTACAGGCATGGGCCACCATGCCCGGCTAATTTTTGTATTTTTAGTAGAGGCAGGGATTCACCACATTGGTCAGGCTGGTCTCGAACTCCTGACCTCAAGTGACCTGCCCGCCTCTGCCTTCCAAAGTTCTGGGAATACAGGCATCAGCAACCGCACCTGGCCTGGATTAATTGAAAATTTTCTTCTGTAGATTGTAATATATTACTATTGTTATCTATTTTATTGCCCCAATTTTCTCAAATTTGGCTATGGAAGTTTATTCAAAATGGATCTGTTTCCCTTTCACATTTTCCCCATTTTGTGAGCATTTCCTTACTTCCTAACATGACAAAATATTTCAAACTAATGTTGTATTTTCCCTGGCCAATCCTGATATCAAATATGTCCCCAAGGAGCCTTGGTTCCTTTAATTGGAGAATGGTGTTCTCATTGTTACTGGGATGATGTTGTTTCTAGGCCCTTTTGTTAGAGGAGCTAGAAAATATATGTATGTATACTCACACATTTATACACATCTGTACTTATTTATACAATTATCCATCTGTATGTATACTGCACAGCTCCTTGAATATTCTAAAAACCACTCAATTGTATACTTTCTTTTTTTCTTTAGTTATTTAAAGACAGGGTCTCCTTTTGTCACCCATGCTGTAGTGCAGTGGTGCCATCTGGTCTCACTGCAACCTATGGCTTCTGGGCTCAAGTGATCTTCCAGTCTCATGTCCCCAAGTAGTTGGGACTACAGGCATGAGCCACCACATCCAGCTAATTTTTGTATTTTTGCTAGAGATGCTGTTTTGCCATGTTGCCCAGGCTAGTCGCAAACTCCTGAACACAAGCGATCCACCTGCCTCAGCTGCCCAAAGTCTTAGCGTTATAGGAATTAGCCACTGCACCTGGCCTGAATTGCGTACTTTGATAAATGAATTGCATGATACGTTAACCATATTTCAATAACGTTATTATTTTAAAAATGGCTGGGCATGGCGTGGTGACTCACGCCTCTGATCTCAGCACACTGGGAGGCCAAGGTGGGTGGATTGCCTGATTTCAGGAGTTCGAGACCAGTCTGGCCAACATACTGAAACTCTGTCTCTACTAAAAATACAAAAATATTAGCTGAGAGTGGTGACATGGGCCTGTAATTCCAGCTAGTCTGGAGGCTGAGGCAGGGGAGTTGCTTGAACCAGGGAGGTGGAGGTTGCAGTCAGCTGAGATCACACCACTGCATTCCAGCCTGCATGACAGAGTAAGAGTCCGTCTCCAAAAGAAAGAAAGAAAAAGAAAATGGGCATTGAACACAGGTGGCTCCCACCTACATATAATCCAAGCACTTTGGGAAGCTGAGGCAGAATGATCACTTGAGGCCAGGAGTCTGACAACATCCTGAGATTTAGCCTTTAAAATGAACCAGTAAAAGAAAGTAAATTGGTGAGATGCAGTGGTTCATGCCCATAATCCCAGCATTTTGTGAAGTTGAGGTGGGAGGATCACGTGAGCCCAGAAATTTGAGACCAGCCTGGGCAACATAACAAGACCCCATCTCTACAAAAAGTAAAAGAACATAGCCAGATATGCTGGTACAGGCCTATAATCTCAGCTATTTGGGAGGCTGAGGTGGGAGGATCACTTGAGCCCAGGAGTCCCATGCTACAGTGAGCTTTGATCACACCACTGCATTCCAGCCTGGCAACAGACTGAGACCCTGTATCTCAGAAAAAAAAGAAAACAATCTGTTTTTCTGAGTTCTGCAAGCTGTCCGAGCAAATGATTCCACCCACCAATGAGGGTCATTAAACCTTGTTTTCTAACTGGTTGGTCAAAACTACATGTAACAACCCAAGACTTGCAATTGGCATGTGGAGTGAGAGTAGACTCCTGGGACTGAGCGCCCCTCCTGCGGGGTCTGCACTAACTCCAGGGAGTGTCAGGATAGAATTGTGGGATACCCAGTTGGGATCCAGATTGTCTGAAAATCAGTGTAGAAACTCCACATGCACATTTGGTCAGAGGTGTTTGACCGTAACTACTATTCACGAAAAAGGTCTTCTCATTAGAACTAAAAATCACAAAATTGTAAGTTCTACAAAAACAAATCAACCTTATCTACCGCCCAGTCCTACTGAAATACAGAATGTGAGAACAGAAGGTCTGACCATGGAGTCGAGAGCTGACAGGAATGTCACCACCATCCTGCTCTCCAAGGACTCCTCATCTTCAACAGACTCCTCATCTTCAATGGGCAGGGTGGAAACTGCAACTTGTGCCATGATCCTTGCACAAGAAAAGTAGTAAGAAAATGAGTGGTAGAAATCCAGTGTCCTAAACTCACATCCAGAGCTGTGAGAGTTTTTTACTGGCTGGATAATTCACAGTTTTCTTGAATCAGGGGAAAAATAAGACTCAGAAACTAGGAATTCATTTTGTCCAAAACTCTCATCAGATACAGAATCCATCCGCTAACTATCTAGTGTTATTTCCATAAGTTAGATCAATTATCACTCCCAAAACAAATGCACATGGCACCCAGAATCTGTGCATTTCTCCCAAGTAAAAGAGGAGGTGGACGGGCGCAGTGTCTCATGCCTTTAACCCCAGCACTTTGGGAGGCCAAGGTGGGTGGATCACCTGAAGTCAGGAGTTCAAGACAAGCCTGGACAACATGGTGATACCCTGTCTCTACTAAAAATAAAAAAAGTTAGCCAGGTGTGGTGGCATGTGCCTGTAGTCCCAGCTTCTTGGGAGGCTGAGGCAGGAGAATCACTTGAACCCAGGAGGCTGAGGTTGCAGTGAGCAGAGATCGCACCACTGCACCTCAGCCTGGACGACAGAGTGAGACTCTGTCTCAAAAAAAAGGAGGGGAGGAAAGGAGGCAAGGCACTTTACAACCCAGTGATGGGCTACCACAACTCAACACAGCAAAGAGTTGCCAAGCTCCCTTTCTCCCTTGCACAACACGACACAGAAGAGTTGGTGCAGTGGAATGAGGCTGGATGGAGAGAAGTTCCTCTTCTTTCTTTCCTTTTATTTTTTTGAGATGGACTCTCGCTCTGTCACACAGGCTGGGCTGCAGTGGTGCAATCTCGGTTACTGTAACCTCTGCCTTATGGGTTTAATCAATTCTCTTCCTCAGCCTTCCAAATACCTGGGGTTAGAGGCACCCCCCACCACACCCAGCTAATTTTTTTTTTTTTTTTTTAGTGGAGACTGGGTTTCACTATGTTGGCCAGGCTGGTCTTGAACTCCTGACCTTAGGTGAACTACCCACCTCGGCCTCCAAAAGTGCTAGGATTACAGGCATGAGCCGCTGTGCCCAGCCAAGAAGTTCCTCTTCTTACTTAGAAAACAGATCACAGGGCATCAAGTAACACGTAAAATCCTTTATAATAAGCAGTATTATTTTTGGAAAACCTTTCCTAATATTTTGGTATCAGCAAAAAGCCTCAGATTAATTTCATACACTATAAAAATACAATACATAAACAGAAAATATTAACTGTCAGCAATGCTATAGAGAAATTGGAAGCTGTATGCATTGCTTTTTGGAATGTAAAATGGTACAGCCCACTGTGGAAAATGGTTTAGCAGCTCCTTAAAAATATGAAAAATCAAAAATATGAATTATATGATCCATCAACACCCTTTAAGCGTATATACCCAAAAGAACTGAGAGCAGGGACTCAAACAGGTATTTGTACACCCGATTAACAGCAGCATTATTCACAGCGGCCAAAAGGTAGCCCAAACCTAATGCCCATCAGTAGGTGAATAGATAAAGAAAATGAAATATATACATACACAGAGTATTATTCAGCCATAAAAAGAAAAATATATGGCCAGATTCAGGGGCTTACCCCTGTAATCCCAGTATTTTGGGAGGCCAAGGTGGGCAGGTCTCTTGAGCCCCATATTTTGAGACCAGACTGGACAACATGGCACATTTGGTTAGAAGTGTTTGACCATAACTACTATTCCAGAAAAAGATCTACTCATTAGAACTACAAATCATAAAATTATAAGTTCTACAAAAACAAATCAACCTTATCTACCACCCAGTTCTACCCAATTATATCATGTTAGAACAGAAGGTCTCACCGTGGACTCGAGAGCTGATATGAGAAATGTCACCACCATCCTGCTCTCCACGGAATAATCTTCAACAGACTCCTCATCTTCCATGGACTCCTCATCTTCCATGGGCAGGGTGGAAACTGCAACTTGTGCCATGATCCCTGTGCAAAAAAGTAGTAAGAAATTGAAAGGTAGAAATGCAGGGTCCTAAACTCACATCCAGAGCTGTGAGAGTTTCTCACCGGCTGCCAAATTGTTTTTTGGGTCAGAGAAAAAAATAAAACTTGGTAACCTGGTACTCGACTTGCCCCAAACTCTCATCAGATAGAGAATCTATCCACTAACTTTCTATCTAGTATTATTTCCATGAAGTTACATCAATATCACTCCCAAAATAAATCCAGGTGGAAGACTAAATCCAAAGCTAGCAGAAGGAAAGAAATAATAAAGAGCATAATTAGAGCATAAATCAATAAAATAGAAGGTTGGAGAGCAGTAGAATGAAAAAATGTAGATTCTTTGAAAGATCAAGCCTTTCACTATATTGAATGAGCAAAAGATGGAAGACTAATTATTAAAATAATAAATGAAAGCAGAGCCATTACTACCAACTTTACAGAAATACAAAAGGATTATAGGAGTATACTGTGAACAACTGTCTAGCAACAAATTAGGTGCCCTGGATGAAATGGATGAATCGCTAGAAAGACACAAACTACCAAAGTGGCTCAAGAAGAAAGAGAAAATCTGAATAGACCTATAACCTAGGAGATTGAATTAGTAATCGAAAGCGATTAACAAAGAAACATTTATGACCAAATAGCTGCATTAACTGGTGAGTCAACCTAACATTTAAAGAAGAATTAATATCATTTCTTCTCAAACTCTTCTGACAAAATATATGAAGAAGGAATACTTGCTAATTCATTTTTTGATAACAGCATTATCCTTATACCAAAGACAAAGGGAGCACAAAAGAGAGAAATACAGCACTATATCCCTTATGAATATATAAGCAAAAATCTCAGCAAAATACTAGCAATACTAGCAAAATACTAGCAGCAATTCTGTATAATCAAAGGATTGTAAACTATCACCCTTTGAGATTTATCCACAAAATGCAAGGGTGGTTCAACATATAAAAAATCAATCAGTGTAATATGCTGTAACAGTAAAATGAATAAGCACGTGACTATTTCAATTGATGCAGAGAAAACATTGATGAAATACAACACCCTTCTATAATAAAAATACTCAATAAACTAGGCATAGAAGGGATCTTCTGCAACATGACAATGGGATGTACAAAAACCCAACAGTTAATATCATGATCAATGATGAAACACTGAAAGCTGTTTTCCTAACATCTAGAAGAAAAGGATGGTGCATTTGCCACTTGTATTCAACGTAGCACTGGCAGTTCTAGCCAGAGCAATTAGGTAAGACAAAGAAATAAAAGGCATCTAAATTAGAAATAAAGAATAGGTGTAAAATTATATCTACACATGATCTTATGGTTATAAAGCTCCAAACAAAACACAAAACCGATTATAACTAATAAAAGAGGCAGGATGCAAACAAACATAGGCAAATGAGCTATATTTCTATATAGTTGTAAAGAACTATGAAAACATTTTAAAAATTCCATTTATAATGACACCAAAGAATACGTTATTGAGGCATAAATCTAACCATGGTGGTATACACAAAACATTGCTGCAAAAAACTAAAGAGAGTGGAAATAAGTGGAAAGACATTCTGTGTTCACGGGTTGTAAGACAATATTGTTAAGATGACAATACCATCTAAAGTAATCTACAGATTCAATGCAATACCATCAAAATCCCAAAGGCATTTTTGCAGAAACAAAGAAACTCATTCTAAAATCATACAAAAATTCAAAGGATCTGACAGACAAAACAGTCTTGAAAAAGAACATTGGAAAACTCACATTTTTCAGTTTCACAGCCTACTACAAATCTACAGTAATCAAGAGAGTGTGGTACTGGAATAAGACCAATAGACTTTCAGACCAATACAACAGAACAGATTTGAGATCCTACAAGTTAGTCCTCACATATATGGTCAATGACTGTTCAACAAGGTGGCCAAGTCTAGTCAAGGGAGGAAAGAACAGTTTCTTCAACAGCTGGATATCAGTGCACAAGAGAGAAGTTAGACCCCTACATTGCAGTATATACAAAAATTAATTCTAAATTAATAAAAGACTTAAATGTAAGGACTAAAAATATGTAACTCTTAGAAGAAAACACACGGTAAACCTTTATGACCTTTGAGTTTTAAGTGTATTTTGAAATATGACAGAAAAGCACAGATAACAAAAGAAAATACACGAAAATTAGATTTAATCAAAATAAAAAACCCTTTATGCATCAAAGGATACTATCAAGGGAGTGAAAAGACAACCCATAATATGTGAGAAAATATGTATCTGATAAAATCAAAATGTGTATCTGATAAAAGCTTAATATCCCACAACTCAACAACAGAATTTCTAAGATCCCAATTAAAAAATAGGCAAAGGACTTGAACAGACGTTTCTCCAAAGAAGATACACAAATGTCTAAGAAGGAAAAGAAAAGATGCTAAACACCATTATTCATTAATAAAATGCAAGGCAAAACCCAAATGAGATGCCACTTTGCATCCACTAGTAAGGCTTTCATAACAACGACACAGAAAATCAATGTTGCTAAGGAGGTGGAGAAACTGGAGCCCTCATGAACTGGCTGCTAGGAATAGAAAATGATGCACTTGCTGTGGAAAACAGTTTGGTGGTTCCTCAAAGAATCACACAGAGAAACAGGCGTCGCTGGCTTGCGGGTTTTCCTGGGCTGGCGCGGGACGTCCCGGAATCGCAGGCGCGCATTCCTTCCCGCCTGAGGGCCCGCCTGGCCGTGACTCCCGCCCCTCTCCTCCTCCGAAGAGAGATCGGGGCCGCCCCAGGGTCCGTCTGCAGCCACCGGGGATGGGGCTGAGGGTCGGTTCCTGCCCCGGTGCAGCCACCCCTGGGAAGACCGCCTGGCTTGGTCGCAGCCACGGCGACATCTAGCCTCGGTTCTGCGAGGCTGGGCGTGGCAGCCAGCTTGGGAGTCGTCCGGCGCCTGTAGCTGGGTGCACAGGTGGTGGAGCATGCCCTGGGCCGCCTCTGGATCACAGGTGCCCCTGGCCTGAGAGCCTGCCAGACCCTGCCCCGGCCCGGCTCCTCCTCTGTCAGAGCTCCAGATCTCTATCCAGGGGCCCTCTACAGCCACCGGGAATGGGGCTGAGGGCCGGTTCCCGCCCCTGTGCAGCTGCTGCAGGAGAGACCGCCTGGCTTGGCCACAGCCACAGGGACATTTGGCCCTGCTTCCGAGATGTGGGGAGTGTGGGCGGGCTCGGGAGTTGCCTGGAGGCTGCTGCCTGCACGCAGAAGGCGGCTGCAGCTCGGGTGCCCAGGCGGGCTGGAGGTGCATGGCCTGGTCGGCCTTGGGATCGCCAGCGCGCCCAGCCTGAGGGCCCCCAGGCCGTGCCTCCCGCCCACTCCTCCACCTGAGGGAGATCGGAGCCGTTTGTATGGGCACTCGGCAGTCACCTCGTGTGGGGTTGAGCGGTGGGTTCTCAGTTCTCGCTCCTGTGCAGCTGCTGTCGCAGGGCAGAATGCCTGGCTTGGCTGCAGCCACTGGGACACGTGGCCCTGCTTCTGTGATGCTAGGAGCGCGAGCGGGCTCAGGGGTTGCCAGGCAGCTGCTGCCTGCACACAGAGGGCGACGGCAGCTTGGGCGCCCAGATGGCGGAGCATGGTTTGGGTGGCCTCTGGAATGCGTGCGCGCCAGGCCTGAGGGTCACCCTGGTGGGGCCACATACCCCGGTCTTCCTCTGCTGGAGCCTGGAGCAGCTGGAATGGCCACTATTCCGTCACAGGGGATAGAGTTAAGTTTTCTTATCCCACCCATGCACACAAAAAGGTGACTATTCTGTGAGGTAATAAACGTGTTAATTGACTTCATTCATGCCACTCTGCATCCACAAGTAAGGCTTTCATAACAATGACACAGAAAATAAATGTTGCTAAGGAGGTGGAGAAGTTGGAGTCCTCATGATCTGGCTGCTAGGAATAGAAAATGATGCCCTTGCTGCGGAAAACAATTTGGTTGTTCCTCACAGAATGAGCATTGGGTGAAAAATGAAATCAAGATGGAAATGTAAAAAATTTCTTCGAACTGGATGACACAACCTATCAAGACCTCTGGGATACAGCAAAGGCACTGCTAAGAGCAAAGTTTGTAGTCCTAAAAACCTACATCAAAAAGTCTGAAAGAGCACAAACAGACAATCTAAGTTCACATCTCAGGGAACTAGAGAAGCAGGAACAAGCCAAACCCAATCCCAGCAAACACAGGAAATAACAAAGATCAGAGCAGAACTAAATGAAATTGACACAACGACAACAACAACAACAACAAATACAAAACATAAATAAAACAAAAAGTTGCTTATTTGAAAAGATAAGTAAAATTGATAGATCATTAGCAAGATTAACCAAGAAAAGAAGAGAGAAAATCCAAATAACCTCACTAAGAAATGAAACGGGATATTACAACTAACACCACTGAAATATTAAAGATTATTCAAGGGTACTATGAACACCTTTTGGCACATAAACTACAAAACCTAGAAGAGTTGGATAAATTCCTGGAAAAATACAACTCTCCTAGCTTAAATCAGGAAGAATTAGATACCCCAAGCAGACCAATAAAGCAAGCAGCAAGATTGAAATGGTAATTTTAAAATTACCAGCAAAAAAAGCTGAGGGCCAGACAGATTCACAGCAGAATTCTACCAGACATTCAAAGAATGTCTTCTTTCATTCAAGGAAGAAATGATACCAATTTTTTCATACTATTCCACAAAACAGAGAAAGAAGAAACCCTCCCTTATTCATTCTATGAAGCCAGCATCACTCTAATACCAAAACCATGGAAGGACATAACCAAAAAAGAAAACTACAGACCAATATCCTTGATGAATGCAGATGCCAAAATCCTTAACAAAATACTATCTAACTGAATCCGACAACATATCAAAAAATAATCCAGCATGATCAAGTGGGTTTTATACCAATGATATAGGAGTGGTTTCACATATGCAAGTCAATAAGTGTGATACACCAAATAAACAGAATTAAAAAAATCTAATATAATTATATCAACAGGCGCAGAAAAAAACATTTGACAAAATCTAGCATTGCTTTATGATTAAAGCTCTCAGCAAAATAGGCATACAAGCGACATACCTTAATGTAATAAAAGCCATCTATGACAAACCCACAGCCAACATAATACTGAATGGGGAAACGGTGAAAGCATTCCCTTTGAGAACTGGAACAAGATGAGGAGCCTACTCTCACCACTCCTCTTCAACATAGTACTGGAAGTCCTAGCCAGAGCAATCAGACAAAAGAAGGAAATAGAGGAAATCCAAATCTGTAAAGAGGAAGTCAAACTGTCACTTGTTGCTGATGATATAATCTTTTGCCTAGAAAACCCTACGGACTCCTCTAGAAACCTCCTAGAACTGATAAAACAATTCAGCAAAGTTTCCAGATACAAGATTAATGGACACAAATCAGTAGCTCTTCCATACATCAACAGCTACCAAGCAGAGAATCACATCAAGAACTCAACCCCTTTTACAATAGCTGCGACAAACAACAACAACAAAAAAAACAAAACTTAGGAATATACCTAGCAAAGAAATCAAAGGACAGCTACAATGAAAATTACAAAACACTACTGAAAGAAATCATAGATGGAGCCAAGCACGGTGGCACATGCCTATAATCCGAGCTACTCGGGAAGCTGAGGCAGGAGAATCGCTTCAACCCGGGAGGCAGAAGTTGTAGTGAGCCGAGATCACACCATTGCACTCCCACCTCAGCGACAAGAGCGAAACTCCCTCTGGAAAAAAAAAAAAAAAAAAACGAAAGAAAAGAAATCATAGATGACACACACAAATGGAAACGCATCCCCATGCTCATGGATGGGTAGAACCAATATTGTGAAAATTACCATTCTGTTAAAGGCAATCTACAAATTCAATGCAATCCCCATCTGAATGCCACCATCATTCTTCACAGAATTACAAAAACAATTCTAAAATTAATATGGAACCAAAAAAGAGCCATGTAACCAAACCAAGCCTAAGCAAAAAGAACCTGGAGGTATCACACTACTTGATTTCAAACTGTACAATAAGGCCATAGTTACCAAAACACCAACGTACTGGTTTAAAAATAGGAACATAGACCAATGGAACAGAAGAGAGAACCCAGAAATTAACCCAAATACTTACAGCCAACTGATCTTCGACAAAGCAAACAAAAACATAAAGTGGGGAAAGGACCCCCTTTTCAACACATGCTGTTGGGATAATTGGCGAGCCACATGTAGGGGAATAAAAATGGATTCTCATCTCTCATCTTATACAAAAATCTACTCAAGATGGATTAAGAACTTAAATCTAATTCCTGAACTATAAAAATTCTAGAAGAGAACACTGGATAAACCCTTCTAGACATTGACATACGCAAGGATTTCATGACCAAGAACCCAAATGCAAATGCAATAAAAACAAAGATAAATAGCTGGGACTTAATTAAACTAAACAGCTTTTTCATGGCAAAGGGAACTGTCAGCAGAGTAAATGGACAACTCAAAGAGTGGGACCCCTGAAACTGACCCTGACCCCTGTCCCTGATCCTTAACCCCTGACCCTGACCCCTAACCCCTGACCCTAACCCTAACCCTTAACCGTAAACCCTAAGCCTAACCCCTAACCCCAACCCTCACCCTCACACTAATCCAACCCTAACCCCTTATCCCTAACCCCTAACCTCTCCTAACCTCTAACTCTAAACGTTGACTCTTAACTCTTAACTCTGACCCCAACCCCTATCTCCAACCCCTAACCCTAAACTTAACCCCTAACCCCTAACCCTAACACCAACCTTAACCCTAGGTTCGTTACTACGTTTGTACTATGTCAATGTTGATTATTATGATCTCTGTCTTAGGACTGCATGGCAGCAAGGGGATTGCGGATCTTATATTAATATTTTTGTATTGAGGCAGTGCATTAGCATTACAGGTGCTTGTTACATGAGCAATGGGGGTGTCATATTTTGGGTGTCATGTCTGCATTAGGAATGCTGCATTTGTCTTCCGAGGCTGCGGTGTGGATCTCGCACTGCGGCCGCCTCGGCTTGGCTGGGGAGAACCTCGGTGGGTAGGATTCAGAGGGGCTTTTGGCTTCCCTTTTCCACACTGAGCCCTTCTAACTGGTCTCTGACCCTGATTATTCAGGGCTGCAAAAGGGAAGGATTTTATTCACCGTCTATGCGGTCCCGAGTTGTCCCAAAGCGAGGCAGTGCCCCAAAGGTCTGTGCTGAGAACGCTGCTCTGCCTTAGCGGTGTCCCCCGGGTCTGTGCTGAGCTGAACGCAGCTCCGCCCTCGCAGTGCCCCCGGCCCGCCTGGGTCTGTGCTGAGGAGAACACTGCTCCGCCTTCGCTGTATCTCTGAAGTCTGTGCAGAGGAGAACTCAGCTCCGCCCTGGCGATGCTCTCCTTGTCTGTGCTGGGAAGAACGCAGCTCCGCCCTCGCAAAGGCGCACAGCGCCGGCGCAGGTGCAGAGAGGCCCACAGCGCTGGCGAAAGGCGCAGAGAGGCAGAAGGCCCATGAGGGGAAGGTGAGACACCTGGGGCAAAGAAGAAAAAAAAATGCGCCGCGAAGCGGTGTCTGGGTCATCCAGGGATGAAAGTTTTTTCCCATCAGCCCTTGCGCTGGGCCCCAGGGACCCTGGCATCCCTGGTTCACGCCCAGTGTGTGCCTCAGGCGACTAGGGGTACCCCAACTTGGACAGAAGGCCCATGAGTGGAAGTTGAAGTTTGTGGGAGGAGAGGTGAGGCACCAGGGGCAGAAAAAAAAAAAAGAGGACCGCGTCTCAGAGAAGCGGGACCTGGGTCCCCCACGGATGAAAGTGCCTTCCCATCAGGCCCTATGCTGGGCCTGGTGGACCCTGACGACCCTGGTTTGAGCCCAGGGTGTGCCTCGGGTCAGCTTGGGGTACCACAAAGCGAACAAAAGGTCCATGAGGGGAAGGTGAGGCACCTGAGGCAGAGAAAAAAAAACGCTCAGCCGAGAAGCAGTGCCTGGGCCCCCCACGGATGAAAGTGCCATCCCATCAGCCCCTTTGCTGGGCCCTGGGGACCCTGGCATCCCTGGTTTGACCATGGGGTATGCCTCAGGACAGTAGGGGTACCCCAAGGTGGGCAGAAAGCCCCTAAGGAGAAGGTGAGGCACCTGGGGCAGAGAAAAAAAGAAAAACTTCGCTGCGGAGAAGCACGGCCTGGGTGCCCCACAGACGAAAGTGTCTTCCCATCAGTCCCTGCACTGGGACCCAGGGACCCTGGTGTCCCTCGTTCGAGCTCAGGGTGTGCCTCGGCCGCCAAGTGCACCCCAAGGGGGGCTTTGGGGACACAAAGCCCGTGAGGGGAAGGTGAGTTTTGAGGGAGGAGAGGTGAGGCACCTGTCACAGAAAAAGTAAAAAAAGAAACCCGCGCCACGGAGAGGTGGGGTCTGGGTACCCCACGGATGAAAGTGTCTTCCCATCAGCCCCTGCACTGGGCCCCAGGGAACCTAGAGTCCCTGGTTCGAGCTCAGGGAGAGCCTCGGGCCACTAGGGGTACCCCAACGCGGTGGAAAGCCCATGAGAGGAAGGTGAGCTGTGAGGGTGGAGAGGTGAGGCACTTGTGGCAGAAAAGAAAAAGAAACCGCGCCACAGAGAAGTGGGGCCTGGGTCTCCCATGGAAAGAAAGTGGTTCCCATCAGTCCCTGAGCTGGGCCCTGTGGACCCAGGCGACCCTGGTTCTAGGCCTGGGTGCACCTCGGGCCAGCTAGGTGTACCCCAAAGAGGGCAGAAGTCCCTTGAGGGGAAGGTGAAGTTTGAGGGAAGAGAGGTGAGGCACCTGCGGCAGAAAAAAAAAAAAAAAAACGTGTGGAAGAGAAGCGGGGCCTGGGTCTCCCACGGACGAAAGTGCCTTCTCATCAGCCCCTGCACTGGGCCCCCTGGACTCTGGCGACCCTAGTTCAAGGACCAGAAGAGACTCTGGCATGCTAGGGTACCCTAAGGAAGCCAGAAAGCCCATGAGGGGAAGGAGAGATTTAAGGGAGGAGAGGTGAGTCACCTGTGGCAGAAAAAAATACATATATATATATATCAGCACCTCGGAGAAGCCGGGCCTGGGTCCCCACTGATGAAAGTGCCTTCCCATCAGCCCCTGCGCTAGCGCCGAGAACCTGGCGAACCTGATTGGAGACCCGGGAGCGCCTCGGGCCTGCTCATGGTACCCCAAAGCAGGCAGAAGGCCAGTGAGGGGAAGGTGAGGCACCCGGGGTGGAGAAAAAAAAACGCAGCTTTGAGAAGCGGGGCCTGGGTACCCACGGATGAAGGTACCTTCCCATCAGCCCCTGCGCTAGGCCCCGGCGACCCTGGCATCCATGGTTCGAGTCCAGGGAGCGCCTTGGGCCGCTAGGGGTATCCCAAGTCGAGCAGAAAGCCCATGATCGGAAGTTGACGTTTGAGGGAGGAGAGGTGAGGAACCTGTGGCAGAAAAAAAAAAAGAAAACAAGCCGCGCCTAGGAGAAGCTGGGCCTGGGTACCCCAAGGATGAAAATGCCTTCCCATCAGTCACTGCGCTGGGCCTTGTGGACGCTGGAGAACCGGTTCAGGCCCCGGGTGTGCCTCGGGCCCGCTAGGGGTACCACAAGGCGGGCAGAAATCCCATGAGGGGCAGTTGAGGTTTGAGGAAGGAGAGGTGAGGCACCTGTGGCAGAAAAAAAAAAACTGCACCACGGAGAAGCGGAGCCTGGGTCCCCAACGGACGAAAGTGTCTTCCCATCAGCCCTTGCGCTGGGCCCAGGGGACCCTGGCATTACTGGTTCGAGACCAGGGTGCGCTTCAGGCCGCTAGGGGTACCCAAAAGCGGGCAGAAGGCCCATGAGGGGAAGGTGACGCACATGGGGCAGAGAAAAAAAAAAACAACAACCGTGCCGCGGATAAGCGGGGCTTGGGTCCCCCACAGAAGAAACTGTCTTCCCATCAGCGCTTGCACTGCGCCCCGGGGAGCCTGGAATCCCTGGCTCGAGCCCAGCGTGCGCCTCGGCCTGCTAGGGGTACCCCAAGACAGACAGAAGGCCCATGAGGGAAAGGTGAGACACCTGCGGAAGAGAAGAAAATAAGAAACTGCGCCGCCCAGAAGTGGGGCCTCCGTCCCCCATGGATGAACGTCCCTACCCATAAGCCCTGCAGTGGGCCCCGGAGACCCTAGCATACCTGGCTCAAAACAAGGCTGCGCCTCAGGCCGGCTAGGGGTACCTCAAGGCGGGCAGAAAGCCAATGACGGGAAAGTGAGGCACCTGGGGAAAAGAAAAAAAAAAAAACGCCACAGAGAAGCAGAGCCTGGGTCCCCAAGGAAGACAGTATCTTCCCATCAGCCACTGCGCTTGGCCCTTTGGAACCTGGATTCCATGGTTCGAGCCCAGGGTGTGCCTCGGGCCGCTAGGGGTACCCCAAACCGTGCAGAAGGCACAAGAGAGGAAGGTGAGGCACCTGGCGCAGAGAAAAAAAAAACCCAGCTGCGGAGAAGCGGGGACTGGAACCTCCAAACGGACGAAAGTGTCTTCCCATCAGGACTTGCGCTAGGCCTCAGGGATCCTGGAGTCCCTGGTTCGAGGCCACAGTGCACCTCGGGCGGCTAGGTGTACCCCAAAAAAGACAGAAGGCCAATGAGGGGAAGGTGAGATTTGAGGAAGGAGAGGTGAGGCATCTATGGCAGGAAAAAAAGAAAAACTGCGCCACGGAGAAGCACGGCATGGGACCCTACAGACGAAGTGCCTTCCCATCAGGCCCTGAGGGTTTGAGACAGAATGAGGAGTGACAAATATCTACAGGGTTTTTCTCTGGCCGGGAGTGATAAGACGTTCTACAATGAATTGCGAATTAAATTTGAATGTGCACAACCACAGGTATACTAAAAGCCACTCAATTCATGACTTTTAATGGGGGAATCTTATGTGGCGCACTCTCATGGAGACCACGGCAGACATAGTGAGAGAGAAAAAGGTGAGTAAATATCTGAAACGGAGGCAGTAACAGAGAGAATGAAAAGCCCTGTGAATGGAAGGGAGAGCGAAAAGGGAAAATGGTCCTATTTATAAATGACAGATGTGAAATTGGGGTTCACATCAACAGTGTCACTGCCAGGAAGGAGGGTCACGCTAGACATGTCACCGGTAGTTTGGCCCGCAGGGACGCCGACCTGCTGGAGCGTCGTGCCAGCATGGGCTGTGGCAGCCACGTGGGCCAGCAGGGGCTTCCCGCTGCACAGCTGTGGGGTGAGGATAGACTGGGTGGTGATATCGGCCATTACAGGGGCCTCTTCTGCTGGCAAGAGTGTGACAGTAGCAAGTAGATGGACAGGCCTGCGTGTGAGGACGGAATGCAGGAGGGGCTCTTGTGCGGCTGGGTGTGGGGCCCTCCCAGGAACCGTGGAGAGATGGCCACGTAACTGCATCATGTGGGCTAGTAGATTGGCCAGGGCTTCGAACTGAAGGACAATAACGGGGAGTAACTGTCAGGCCCTGGGAGTGCCTGAGTGTAAGTGGAGATGGGTTTGGGGTCACTGAGGGATGCGTGGGAGCCATCCCTGTATAGGTACAGGTCATAGGGAGATAGTCTGGTGAGGCCTGTGAGTGTCTAGGGTTGTCCTGGGTGCCTGGGGCTGACTGTGGCAGAAATCTGGGGAAGGCTGGAGAGAAGCTGGGAGACCCAGGAGAGTCCCTGAAGGCAGGGGGTGAAGAGGTGAAAGAAATGGGGGATGGTTGCAGTAAGGTCCGTGAGTTTGCAGGTGATTCCAGGGTGTGGGAAGCTGACTCCAGGTGAAATCTGGAGATGGATGGAGAGTAGCTGAGAGAGACAAAAGAGCCCCTGAGGGCTGGGGGTGAGAACATGAGGGAGACAGGGGAGTAAGTCAGTGAAATTCGTGAGTTCTGTGGTGTATCGTGGGTGCCTGGAACTGACTCCAGCTGGAATCTAGAGAAGTTTTGAGAGTAGCTGAAAGAGACACAAGAGTCCCTGTGGGATGAGGGCAAAGACATGAGAGAGAACAGGGAGGAGCTCAGTGAAGTCTGTGAGTCTGTATCTGATTCCGGAGTGTGGGAGGCTGACTCCCGCTGAAATCTGGGCGTGGTGGGAGAGTAGCTGGGACAGACAGGAGAGTCCCAGGGGTCTGGGGGTGAAGACATGAGAGAGACTGGGGAGTAACTCAGTGAAACTGCTGAGTTTGGTGGTGATACATGGGTGCCTGGAACTGACTCCCGCTGAAATGTGGGCGTGGTTGGAGAGTAGCTGGAACAGACAGGAGAGTCCCTGAGGGCTGGTGAAGACACGAGAGAGACTGGAGAGTAATTGAGTGAAATTGGTGAGTTTGGTGGTGATTCCTGGGTGCCTGGAACTGACGCCCGCTGAAGTGGGGGTGTGATTGGAGAGTAGCTGGGACACACAGGAGAGTCCCTGAGGGTTGGAGATAAAGACGTGCTAGAGACTGAGGAGTAACTGAGTGAAATTGGTGAGTTTGGTGGTGATTCCGGGGTGCCTGGAACTGACTCCAGCTGAAATGTGGGCGTGGTTGGAGAGTAGCTGGGACAGACGGGAGAGTCCCTGAGGGATGGTGAAGACATGAGAGAGACTGGGGAGTAACGCAGTGAAATTGGTGAGTTTGGTGGTGACTTCTGGGTGCCTGCAACGGACTCCCGCTGAAGTGTGGGCGTGTTTGGAGAGTAGCTGGGACAGACAGGCGAGTCCCTGAGGGTTGGAGATAAAGACGTGCTAGAGACTGGGGAGTAACTCAGTGAAAGCGGTGGGCTTGGTGGTGATCCCTGGGTTCCTGGAACTGACCCGCGCTGAAATGTGGGCGTGGTTGGAGAGTAGCTGGGACAGACTGGAGGGTCCGTAAGGGCTGGGAATGAAGACGTGAGAGAGACTGGCGAGGATCTCACTGAGGTCTGTGAGTTTGTAGGTGTTTCTGGGGTGTGGGGTACAGACTCCCGCTGAAATCTGGGCGTAGTTGGAGAGTAGCTGGGACAGACAGGAGAGTCATGGGTGGCTGGGGGTGAGCTGCTGGATGATGGCAGTAAGAACATATGGTATATTATTGATGAATGAGGTGACTGTGAAGAATCTCCAGAGGAGGTCACGGGAGAACACAATGACATGAGTGACTGTCCTGCTTGGTTAGGAAAGGGAAACGTAAAGTTGTGGAATTCTGTTGATGACGGATGTGAGAGTGGTGAAGCCCTGCGAGATGATGTAGAGGACTTCCACATCTCTGGTGAGGAGCTGCCCCTTGGGTCTGAGTTTCTGGGAGGGGAGAGGGAGAAGCTGGGTGAGGCAGGCATGAATCTTGAGGAGTCAGTGCTGGGGGACCGCTCATATTCTCCCGAGACCTGTGAGTCTCTGGGGGACTCCTGGTTGCATGGGGCTGACTCCCGCAGGAACCTGGGGATGGCTGGAGAGTAACTGGGAGCGACAGGAGAGTCCCTGAGGCCTGGGGGTGAAGAGATGAAAGACACGGGGGTGGAGCACCGTGAGGCTCGTGAGTTTGTAGGTGATTCCTGGGTGTGGGGGGCTGACTCCAGCTGAAATCTGGGGTTGTTTGGAGAGTAGCTGGGAGACACAGGAGACCCCCCGAGAGCTGGGGGTGAGCTGCTGGGTGATGGCAGTAAGAACATGTGGTATATTATTGATGAACGTGGGGACTCTGAGGAATCCTCAGAGGAGGACACGGGAAAGCCCAATGGCTTCATTGATTGCCCATCACGGTGAGGACAGGGAAATGGGAGCTTGTGGGATTCTGATGATGACAGAGGTGAGTGTGGTGAAGCCCTAGGGGATGGTGAATGGTAGCTCCGGATCCCTGGTGAGGAGCTTCCCCTTAAGCCTGAGTTTCTGAGAGGGGAGAGGGAGAAGCTGGGTGAGGCTCGCTTGGACCTTGGGGAGTCCGGGCTGGGGGACCGTTCATAAGAAGAGCCAGACAAGACCCTACTGTTCTTAGGTGCAGACATGATTAGGAAACCTGCAGCTCCCAGGGGCCCCTACTAATGTTCTAACTCGCAGAAGGAAGGAGTGTGTGTGCGTGTGTGTGCGTGTGCGTGTGCGTGTGTGTGTGCGTGTGTGTGTTTGTGTGTGTGCGTTGTGAGGTATGTGCCCCTTAAGAAAATGGAAATCAACCAACCAATGAGACAGACAGACAGACAGACAGACAGACAGAGATTCACTTGCCCAAGTGTTCTGTCCTGTCCTCTGAATCTGCTTCCAAGTCGCAAGACGCTGTGAGCTCCAAGTCCACGCAGAGTCCGCCAAAAGCTCCGGCCGCTGATCCGCTCCGCGAAGATCTGAGTACAGGCCAGCCAGGGTGGGTTTAAATAGCCTCGGGCGCAGCCTAGCAGCGGAAAGGGCGGAGCTTCACTCCTCCTTTCCATCAGTCACTCCCAACTTTCCCAGGCTACACCTCGTAGGAAACTGTTCTCCTGCTTTGATTTCATGCGCCACCTTTGGGACAATCTAAGAACTTACAAGTTTTCTTGGCCAGATATATTAGGAATTGTATGCACTGAAACACTGAAAACCCACTAGTGGTTCTGTGGTTCCCACGTTGTGGTTTTGACACCAGCAGCATCCTTGCCACAGTCAAACGCCGGAGATCCGCAGATCTGTGCTGTAACAAGACCTCCCCCTGACCCTGATGCATGGCAGTTGAAGAAGTCTTTCCGTGTAAGCGAAAAGACTTTGAAGAAAAGGTGGAGATATGCGTTGTATCAACATCCTTTTGCTCTGGAACCACGTAGAGACTTGGGAGCCAGTTGGGTGGAGCATTCGTTGGATGAGGGTGCTCCGGTTAGGAATATCAAGGTGTGGCTCCAGATAATCCAATCATCTAATTAAGATTCCAGTTATGCTCATCTGTTTTAAAATTCCGTTTGGGTAAATTCTTTTAGTCAGACTGAGGATGGCAAAGCCTCAACCCCAATTTCCAGGGAGGGTGGAGAGCCCCAGGTGGAGTTGATCACCAATAGCCTATGGTTTAACCCATCATGCCTATAGAATGAGGTCTCCATCAAAACCCAAAAGGACTGGGTTCAGAGAGCTTCTGGATAGCACTTCCTGGAAGGTAGTGCGCCCCTCCCCACATGCCGGGCCCCACATTTATTTCTGAACTTTGTGCAATGTCCGCTAAAATACAACCGCAAATGTAAGTGTTTCCCTGCGTGCTGTGAGCTCTTCCAGCAAATGAATGCAACTAAATCTGGGAGTGGTGGCAACCTGATTTATAGCCAGTGGCTGAGAAGCACAGGTAAAGCAACGTAGGGCTTCCCATTGTTATTAGTGTGGGAGGCCTGTCTGGCGGGACCGGGCCCTTTGGAATCTAATGCTATGTCCCGGTAGATAGCGTCACCATTGAATTAGAAGACACACATATGTTGAGAATAATCATTCTGGTCATTTGCTGCATGTCTTATTGACAATATGTAATCACATCCTTTATCCTGACCTTATGGCACCTGGGTTAAGAACCATGATTTGAACCAGACGTTGGTCTGTCACTTTCTCAGTTTGAAACTTTATTTTGCCTTTAGCGTTTTGCTGTTGCTTTTTCGTTGTCTTTTGTTTCGTTTCGTTCCTAAGTTCTGGGGTATATGTGCAGGATGTGCAGATTTGTTACTAAGGTTAACGTGTGCCATGGTGGTTTGCTGCACCTCTCAACCCATCACCTAGGTATTAGGCCCAGCATGCAGTAGGCGTTTTTCTTAACGCTCTGTCTCCCGGAAGGCCCCAGTGTGTGTTGTTCCCCTTCCTGTGTCCATGGGATCTCATTTTTCAGCTCCCATTATAAGTGAGTTGTGGCGTTTGGTTTTCTTTTCCCTGGATAAGTTTGCTGAGGGTAATGACCACACATCACCACTATTTTTGTTTTTTAGTATAAAGAGTAGTATTTTATTGAATAAGATTTGCTCACAGAAAAATAAGCTTACATCTACAATGAATGCCAGACCCTACAGCAGAAAGCCATTTTCTCACTTTTCCACACACAATGGTTCCTACTAAGTGAAAAAAAAGCCATAAAATTTCATTCACAAATGTACTACTCTGTCTCAAAACATCGCACATAATCATGCACTGTACTAAAGCCATTAGATCAGTTCCTCAGTCAGGTTAAAGAAGTATCACTCTAATAACTGACTTTTATAATGCTATCAATATCCACTCCCAATCAGTCTGCCATTGTTAATGGTGTACAGCAATACTGAATACAATGGAATTGATGACGCCCATATCCACGGACAAACCGTGACTTATGATGGTTTGATTTATGATTTTTCAACGTTATGATGGGTTTACTGGAATATTAGATGCGTTTCTGAGTTACACTGGGTTTATGAGTATGCGACCCTATACTCCAGAAACAGCTGTATAAGGAAAAACAGGTTTACCTAATGAAAATATGCTTAGTGACTTGGGATAAACCAATAGATGTTCACAACTGATGGAGAGCCGTGTAAGAGAGATAACGTTAAATATTTACAATAACACAATTTTCCTGCACCTGTCGAGGATTTCCCCAAAAAAACGCAGGATGTGGGATGCACCTAAGGCATAGGAAAGAGAGAGGGCAGAAGGAGTAAGAGAGAAATAGGAGGAAGGAGGGAAGGAAAGAAGGAAGTCAGGAAGGAAGGAAGGAAGGAAGGAAGGAAGGAAGGAAGGAAAGAAGGACGTAAGGAAGGAGAAAACAGCGGTGTTACTAAAAGCCCCCAAAAAAATGGTTTCCCCCTGTGGGTAAGCCTACAATGTGGACGATTCTTGAAAATATTGTGCTACGTGTTATGTCAGTCATAACAGCTCACCTATTGTGCAATTCCGCTTATAGGAAATGTCCACAATATGGTAATCTATGCATATGGGATTGATCGCACTAGGTAGTTGCTACCTAGGGCTGAGGGCCAGGGAGAGGGTTTGAGACAGAAAGAGGAGTGACTAATGTCTACAGGGTTTTTCTCCGGCCGGGAGTGATAAGACGTTCTACAATGAATTGCGAATTAAATTTGAATGTGCACAACCACAGGTATAGTAAAAGCCACTCAATTCATGACTTTTAATGGGGGAATCTTATGTGGCGCACTCTCATGGAGACCACGGCAGACATAGTGAGAGAGAAAAAGGTGAGTAAATATCTGAAACGGAGGCAGTAACAGAGAGAATGAAAAGCCCTGTGAATGGAAGGGAGAGCGAAAAGGAAAATGGTCCTATTTACAAATGACAGATGTGAAATTGGGGTTCACATCAACAGTGTCACTGCCAGGAAGGAGGGTCACGCTAGACATGTCACCGGTAGTTTGGCCCGCAGGGACGCCGACCTGCTGGAGCGTCATGCCAGCATGGGCTGTGGCAGCCACGTGGGCCAGCAGGGGGTTCCCGCTGCACAGCTGTGGGGTGAGGATAGACTGGGTGGTGATATCGGCCATTACAGGGGCCTCTTCTGCTGGCAAGAGTGTGACAGTAGCAAGTAGATGGACAGGCCTGTGTGTGAGGACGGAATGCAGGAGGGGCTCTTGTGCGGCTGGGTGTGGGGCCCTCCCGGGAACCGTGGAGAAATGGCCAGGTAACTGCGTCATGTGGGCTAGTAGATTGGCCAGGGCTTCGAACTGAAGGACAATAACGGGGAGTAGCTGTCAGGCCCTGGGAGTGCCTGAGTGTAAGTGGAGATGGGTTTGGGGTCACTGAGGGATGCGTGGGAGCCATCACTGTATAGGTACAGGTCATAGGGAGATAGTCCGGTGAGGCCTGTGAGTGTCTAGGGTTGTCCTGGGTGCCTGGGGCTGACTGTGGCAGAAATCTGGGGAAGGCTGGAGAGAAGCTGGGAGACCCAGGAGAGTCCCTGAAGGCAGGGGGTGAAGAGGTGAAAGAAATGGGGGATGGTTGCAGTAAGGTCCGTGAGTTTGCAGGTGATTCCAGGGTGTGGGAAGCTGACTCCAGGTGAAATCTGGAGATGGTTGGAGAGTAGCTGAGAGAGACAGAAGAGTCCCTGAGGGCTGGGGGTGAGAACATGAGGGAGACAGGGGAGTAAGTCAGTGAAATTCGTGAGTTCGGTGGTGTATCGTGGGTGCCTGGAACTGACTCCAGCTGGAATCTAGAGAAGTTTTGAGAGTAGCTGAAAGAGACACAAGAGTCCCTGTGGGATGAGGGCAAAGACCTGAGAGAGACCAGGGAGGAGCTCAGTGAAGTCTGTGAGTCTGTATCTGATTCCGGAGTGTGGAAGGCTGACTCCTGCTGAAATCTGGGCGTGGTGGGAGAGTAGCTGGGACAGACAGGAGAGTCCCAGGGGTCTGGGGGTGAAGACCTGAGAGAGACTGGGGAGTAACTCAGTGAAACTGCTGAGTTTGGTGGTGATACATGGGTGCCTGGAACTGACTCCCGCTGAAATCTGGGCATGGTTGGAGAGTAGCTGGGACGCACAGGAGAGTCCCCGAGGGCTGGGGGTGAAGACATGAGAGAGACCGGGGAGTAACTGAGTGAAACTGGTGAGTTTGGTGGTGACTCCGGGGTGCCTGGAACTGACTCCAGCTGAAATGTGGGCGTGGTTGGAGAGTAGCTGGGACAGACAGGAGAGTCCCTGAGGGCTGGTGAAGACACGAGAGAGACTGGAGAGTAATTGAGTGAAATTGGTGAGTTTGGTGGTGATATCTGGGTGCCTGGAACTGACGCCCGCTGAAGTGTGGGCGTGGTTGGAGAGTAGCTGGGAAAGACAGGAGAGTCCCTGAGGGTTGGAGATAAAGACGTGCTAGAGACTGAGGAGTAACTGAGTGAAATTGGTGAGTTTGGTGGTGATTCCGGGGTGCCTGGAACTGACTCCAGCTGAAATGTGGGCGTGGTTGGAGAGTTGCTGGGACAGACGGGAGAGTCCCTGAGGGATGGTGGAGACATGAGAGAGACTGGGGAGTAACGCAGTGAAATTGGTGAGTTTGGTGGTGACTTCTGGGTGCCTGCAACGGACTCCCGCTGAAGTGTGGGCGTGTTTGGAGAGTAGCTGGGACAGACAGGCGAGTCCCTGAGGGTTGGAGATAAAGACGTGCTAGAGACTGGGGAGTAACTCAGTGAAAGCGGTGGGCTTGGTGGTGATCCCTGGGTTCCTGGAACTGACCCGCGCTGAAATGTGGGCGTGGTTGGAGAGTAGCTGGGACAGACTGGAGGGTCCGTAAGGGCTGGGGGTGAAGACGTGAGAGAGACTGGCGAGGATCTCACTGAGGTCTGTGAGTTTGTAGGTGTTTCTGGGGTGTGGGGTACAGACTCCCACTGAAATCTGGGCGTAGTTGGAGAGTATCTGGGACAGACAGGAGAGTCATGGGTGGCTGGGGGTGAGCTGCTGGATGATGGCAGTAAGAACATATGGTATATTATTGATGAATGAGGTGACTGTGAAGAATCTCCAGAGGAGGTCACGGGAGAACACAATGACATGAGTGACTGTCCTGCTTGGTTAGGAATGGGAAACGTAAAGTTGTGGAATTCTGTTGATGACGGATGTGAGAGTGGTGAAGCCCTGCGGGATGATGTAGAGGACTTCCACATCCCTGGTGAGGAGCTGCCCCTTGGGTCTGAGTTTCTGGGAGGGGAGAGGGAGAAGCTGGGTGAGGCAGGCATGAATATTGAGGAGTCAGGGCTGGGGGACCGCTCATAATCTCCCGAGACCTGTGAGTCTCTGGGGGACTCCTGGTTGCATGGGGCTGACTCCCGCAGGAACCTGGGGATGGCTGGAGAGTAACTGGGAGCCACAGGAGAGTCCCTGAGGCCTGGGGGTGAAGAGATGAAAGACGCAGGGGTGGAGCAAAGTGAGGCTCGTGAGACTGTAGGTGATTCCTGGGTGTGGGGGGCTGACTCCAGCTGAAATCTGGGGTTGTTTGGAGAGTAGCTGGGAGACACAGGAGACCCCCCGAGAGCTGGGGGTGAGCTGCTGGGTGATGGCAGTAAGAACATGTGGTATATTATTGATGAACGTGGGGACTCTGAGGAATCCTCAGAGGAGGACACGGGAGAGCCCAATGGCTTCATTGATTGCCCATCACGGTGAGGACAGGGAAATGGGAGCTTGTGGGATTCTGGTGATGACAGAGGTGAGTGTGGTGAAGCCCTAGGGGATGGTGAATGGTAGCTCCGGATCCCTGGTGAGGAGCTTCCCCTTAAGCCTGAGTTTCTGAGAGGGGAGAGGGAGAAGCTGGGTGAGGCTCGCATGGACCTTGGGGTGTCCGTGCTGGGGGACCGTTCATAAGAAGAGCCAGACAAGACCCTACTGTTCTTAGGTGCAGACATGATTAGGAAACCTGCAGCTCCCAGGGGCCCCTACTAATGTTCTAACTCGCAGAAGGAAGGAGTGTGTGTGCGTGTGTGTGCGTGTGCGTGTGCGTGTGTGTGTGCGTGTGTGTGTTTGTGTGTGTGCGGTGTGAGGTATGTGCCCCTTAAGAAAATGGAAATCAACCAACCAATGAGACAGACAGACAGACAGACAGACAGACAGACAGACAGACAGAGATTCACTTGCCCAAGTGTTCTGTCCTGTCCTCTGAACCCGCTTCCAAGTCGCAAGACGCTGTGAGCTCCAAATCCACGCAGAGTCCGCCAAACGCTCCGGCCGCTGATCCGCTCCGCGAAGATCTGAGTACAGGCCAGCCAGGGTGGGTTTAAATAGCCTCGGGCGCAGCCTAGCAGCGGAAAGGGTGGATCTTCACTCCTCCTTTCCATCAGTCACCCCCAACTTTCCCAGGCTACACCTCGTAGGAAACTGTTCTCCTGCTTTGATTTCATGCGCCACCTTTGAGACAATCTAAGAACTTACAAGTTTTCTTAGCCAGATATATTAGGAATTGTATGCACTGAAACACTGAAAACCCACTAGTGGTTCTGTGGTTCCCACGTTGTGGTTTTGACACCAGCAGCATCCTTGCCACAGTCAAACGACGGAGATCTGCAGATCTGTGTTGTAACAAGACCTCCCCCTGACCCTGATGCATGACAGTTGAAGAAGTCTTACCGTGTAAGCGAAAAGACTTTGAAGAAAAGGTGGAGATATGCGTTGTATCAACATCCTTTTGCTCTGGAACCACGTAGAGACTTGGGAGCCAGTTGGGTGGAGCATTCGTTGGATGAGGGTGCTCGGGTTAGGAATATCAAGGTGTGGCTCCAGATAATCCAATCATCTAATTAAGATTCCAGTTATGCTCATCTGTTTTAAAATTCCGTTTGGGTAAATTCTTTTAGTCAGACTGAGAATGGCAAAGCCTCAACCCCAATTTCCAGGGAGGGTGGAGAGCCCCAGGTGGAGTTGATCACCAATAGCCTATGGTTTAACCCATCATGCCTATAGAATGAGGTCTCCATCAAAACCCAAAAGGACTGGGTTCAGAGAGCTTCTGGATAGCACTTCCTGGAAGGTAGTGCGCCCCTCCCCACGTGCCGGGGCCCACATTTATTTCTGAACTTTGTGCAATGTCCGCTAAAATACAACCGCAAATGTAAGTGTTTCCCTGCGTGCTGTGAGCTCTTCCAGCAAATGAATGCAACTAAATCTGGGAGTGGTGGCAACCTGATTTATAGCCAGTGGCTGAGAAGCACAGGTAAAGCAACGTAGGGCTTCCCATTGTTATTAGTGTGGGAGGCCTGTCTGGCGGGACTCGGCCCTTTGGAATCTAATGCTATGTCCCGGTAGATAGCGTCACCATTGAATTAGAAGACACACATATGTTGAGAATAATCATTCTGGTCATTTGCTGCATGTCTTATTGACAATATGTAATCACATCCTTTATCCTGACCTTATGGCTCCTGGGTTGAGAACAATGATTTGAACCAGACGTTGGTCTGTCACTTTCTCAGTTTGAAACTTTATTTTGCCTTTAGCGTTTTGCTGTTGCTTTTTCGTTGTCTTTTGTTTCGTTTCGTTCCTAAGTTCTGGGGTATATGTGCAGGATGTGCAGATTTGTTACTAAGGTAAACGTGTGCCATGGTGGTTTGCTGCACCTGTCAACCCATCACCTAGGTATTAGGCCCAGCATGCAGTAGCTGTTTTTCTTAACGCTCTGTCTCCCGGAAGGCCCCAGTGTGTGTTGTTCCCCTTCCTGTGTCCATGGGATCTCATTTTTCAGCTCCCATTATAAGTGAGTTGTGGCGTTTGGTTTTCTTTTCCCTGGATAAGTTTGCTGAGGGTAATGACCACACATCACCACTGTTTTTGTTTTTTAGTATAAAGAGTAGTATTTTATTGAATAAGATTTGCTCACAGAAAAATAAGCTTACATCTACAATGAATACCAGACCCTACAGCAGAAAGCCATTTTCTCACTTTTCCACACACAATGGTTCCTACTAAGTGAAAAAAAAGCCATAAAATTTCATTCACAAATGTACTACTCTGTCTCAAAACATCGCACATGATCATGCACTGTACTAAAGCCATTAGATCAGTTCTTCAGTCAGGTTAAAGAAGTATCCCTCTAATAACTGACATTTATAATGCTATCAATATCCACTCCCAATCAGTCTGCCATTGTTAATGGTGTACAGCATTACTGAATACAATGGAATTGATGACGCCCATATCCACGGACAAACCGTGACTTATGATGGTTTGATTTATGATTTTTCAACGTTATGATGGGTTTACTGGAATATTAGATGCGTTTCTGAGTTACACTGGGTTTATGAGTATGCGACCCTATACTCCAGAAACAGCTGTATAAGGAAAAACAGGTTTACCTAATGAAAATATGCTTAGTGACTTGGGATAAACCAATAGATGTTCACAACTGATGGAGAGCCGTGAAAGAGAGATAACGGTAAATAGTTACAATAACACAATTTTCCTGCACCTGTCGAGGATTTCCTCAAAAAAACGCAGAATGTGGGATGCACCTAAGGCATAGGAAAGAGAGAGGGCAGAAGGAGTAAGAGAGAAATAGGAGGAAGGAGGGAAGGAAAGAAGGAAGTCAGGAAGGAAGGAAAGAAGGACGTAAGGAAGGAGAAAACACCGGTGTTACTAAAAGCCCCCAAAAAAATGGTTTCCCCCTGTGGGTAAGCCTACAATGTGGACGAATCTTGAAAATATTGTGCTACGTGTTATGTCAGTCATAACAGCTCCCCTATTGTGCAATTCCGCTTATAGGAAATGTCCACAATATGGTAATCTATGCATATGGGATTGATCGCACTAGGTAGTTGCTACCTAGGGCTGAGGGTCAGGGAGAGGGTTTGAGACAGAATGAGGAGTGACTAATGTCTACAGGGTTTTTCTCTGGCCGGGAGTGATAAGACGTTCTACAATGAATTGCGAATTAAATTTGAATGTGCACAACCACAGGTATACTAAAAGCCACTCAATTCATGACTTTTAATGGGGGAATCTTATGTGGCGCACTCTCATGGAGACCACGGCAGACATAGTGAGAGAGAAAAAGGTGAGTAAATATCTGAAACGGAGGCAGTAACAGAGAGAATGAAAAGCCCTGTGAATGGAAGGGAGAGCGAAAAGGGAAAATGGTCCTATTTACAAATGACAGATGTGAAATTGGGGTTCACATCAACAGTGTCACTGCCAGGAAGGAGGGTCACGCTAGACATGTCACCGGTAGTTTGGCCCGCAGGGACGCCGACCTGCTGGAGCGTCGTGCCAGCATGGGCTGTGGCAGCCACGTGGGCCAGCAGGGGGTTCCCGCTGCACAGCTGTGGGGTGAGGATAGACTGGGTGGTGATATCGGCCATTACAGGGGCCTCTTCTGCTGGCAAGAGTGTGACAGTAGCAAGTAGATGGACAGGCCTGCGTGTGAGGACGGAATGCAGGAGGGGCTCTTGTGCGGCTGGGTGTGGGGCCCTCCCGGGAACCGTGGAGAAATGGCCAGGTAACTGCGTCATGTGGGCTAGTAGATTGGCCAGGGCTTCGAAGTGAAGGACAATAACGGGGAGTAGCTGTCAGGCCCTGGGAGTGCCTGAGTGTAAGTGGAGATGGGTTTGGGGTCACTGAGGGATGCGTGGGAGCCATCCCTGTATAGGTACAGGTCATAGGGAGATAGTCCGGTGAGGCCTGTGAGTGTCTAGGGTTGTCCTGGGTGCCTGGGGCTGACTGTGGCAGAAATCTGGGGAAGGCTGGAGAGAAGCTGGGAGACCCAGGAGAGTCCCTGAAGGCAGGGGGTGAAGAGGTGAAAGAAATGGGGGATGGTTGCAGTAAGGTCCGTGAGTTTGCAGGTGATTCCAGGGTGTGGGAAGCTGACTCCAGGTGAAATCTGGAGATGGTTGGAGAGTAGCTGAGAGAGACAGAAGAGTCCCTGAGGGCTGGGGGTGAGAACATGAGGGAGACAGGGGAGTAAGTCAGTGAAATTCGTGAGTTCGGTGGTGTATCGTGGGTGCCTGGAACTGACTCCAGCTGGAATCTAGAGAAGTTTTGAGAGTAGCTGAAAGAGACACAAGAGTCCCTGTGGGATGAGGGCAAAGACCTGAGAGAGACCAGGGAGGAGCTCAGTGAAGTCTGTGAGTCTGTATCTGATTCCGGAGTGTGGGAGGCTGACTCCCGCTGAAATCTGGGCGTGGTGGGAGAGTAGCTGGGACAGACAGGAGAGTCCCAGGGGTCTGGGGGTGAAGACCTGAGAGAGACTGGGGAGTAACTCAGTGAAACTGCTGAGTTTGGTGGTGATACATGGGTGCCTGGAACTGACTCCCGCTGAAATCTGGGCATGGTTGGATAGTAGCTGGGACGCACAGGAGAGTCCCCGAGGGCTGTGGGTGAAGACATGAGAGAGACCGGGGAGTAACTGAGTGAAACTGGTGAGTTTGGTGGTGACTCCGGGGTGCCTGGAACTGACTCCAGCTGAAATGTGGGCGTGGTTGGAGAGTAGCTGGGACAGACAGGAGAGTCCCTGAGGGCTGGTGAAGACACGAGAGAGACTGGGGAGTAATTCAGTGAAATTTGTGAGTTTGGTGGTGATTCCTGGGTGCCTGCAATGGACTCCCGCTGAAGTGTGGGCGTGTTTGGAGAGTAGCTGGGACAGACAGGCGAGTCCCTGAGGGTTGGAGATAAAGACGTGCTAGAGACTGGGGAGTAACTCAGTGAAAGCGGTGGGCTTGGTGGTGATCCCTGGGTTCCTGGAACTGACCCGCGCTGAAATGTGGGCGTGGTTGGAGAGTAGCTGGGACAGACTGGAGGGTCCGTAAGGGCTGGGGGTGAAGACGTGAGAGAGACTGGCGAGGATCTCACTGAGGTCTGTGAGTTTGTAGGTGTTTCTGGGGTGTGGGGTACAGACTCCCGCTGAAATCTGGGCGTAGTTGGAGAGTAGCTGGGACAGACAGGAGAGTCATGGGTGGCTGGGGGTGAGCTGCTGGATGATGGCAGTAAGAACATATGGTATATTATTGATGAATGAGGTGACTGTGAAGAATCTCCAGAGGAGGTCACGGGAGAACACAATGACATGAGTGACTGTCCTGCTTGGTTAGGAAAGGGAAACGTAAAGTTGTGGAATTCTGTTGATGACGGATGTGAGAGTGGTGAAGCCCTGCGGGATGATGTAGAGGACTTCCACATCCCTGGTGAGGAGCTGCCCCTTGGGTCTGAGTTTCTGGGAGGGGAGAGGGAGAAGCTGGGTGAGGCAGACATGAATCTTGAGGAGTCAGGGCTGGGGGACCGCTCATAATCTCCCGAGACCTGTGAGTCTCTGGGGGACCCCTGGGCGCATGGGGCTGACTCCCGCAGGAACCTGGGGATGGCTGGAGAGTAACTGGGAGCCACAGGAGAGTCCCTGAGGCCTGGGGGTGAAGAGATGAAAGACACGGGGGTGGAGCAAAGTGAGGCTCGTGAGTTTGTAGGTGATTCCTGGGTGTGGGGGGCTGACCGCAGCTGAAATCTGGGGTTGTTTGGAGAGTAGCTGGGAGACACAGGAGACCCCCCGAGAGCTGGGGGTGAGCTGCTGGGTGATGGCAGTAAGAACATGTGGTATATTATTGATGAACGTGGGGACTCTGAGGAATCCTCAGAAGAGGACACGGGAGAGCCCAATGGCTTCATTGATTGCCCATCACGGTGAGGACAGGGAAATGGGAGCTTGTGGGATTCTGGTGATGACAGAGGTGAGTGTGGTGAAGCCCTAGGGGATGGTGAATGGTAGCTCCGGATCCCTGGTGAGGAGCTTCCCCTTAAGCCTGAGTTTCTGAGAGGGGAGAGGGAGAAGCTGGGTGAGGCTCGCATGGACCTTGGGGAGTCCGGGCTGGGGAACCGTTCATAAGAAGAGCCAGACAAGACCCTACTGTTCTTAGGTGCAGACATGATTAGGAAACCTGCAGCGCCCAGGGGCCCCTACTAATGTTCTAACTCGCAGAAGGAAGGAGTGTGTGTGCGTGTGTGTGCGTGTGCGTGTGCGTGTGTGTGTGCGTGTGTGTGTTTGTGTGTGTGCGGTGTGAGGTATGTGCCCCTTAAGAAAATGGAAATCAACCAACCAATGAGACAGACAGACAGACAGACAGACAGACAGACAGAGATTCACTTGCCCAAGTGTTCTGTCCTGTCCTCTGAACCCGCTTCCAAGTCGCAAGACGCTGTGAGCTCCAAATCCACGCAGAGTCCGCCAAACGCTCCGGCCGCTGATCCGCTCCGCGAAGATCTGAGTACAGGCCAGCCAGGGTGGGTTTAAATAGCCTCGGGCGCAGCCTAGCAGCGGAAAGGGCGGAGCTTCACTCCTCCTTTCCATCAGTCACCCCCAACTTTCCCAGGCTACACCTCGTAGGAAACTGTTCTCCTGCTTTGATTTCATGCGCCACCTTTGGGACAATCTAAGAACTTACAAGTTTTCTTGGCCAGAAATATTAGGAATTGTATGCACTGAAACACTGAAAACCCACTAGTGGTTCTGTGGTTCCCACGTTGTGGTTTTGACACCAGCAGCATCCTTGCCACAGTCAAACGCCGGAGATCCGCAGATCTGGGTTGTAACAAGACCTCCCCCTGACCCTGATGCATGGCAGTTGAAGAAGTCTTTCCGTGTAAGCGAAAAGACTTTGAAGAAAAGGTGGAGATATGCGTTGTATCAACATCCTTTTGCTCTGGAACCACGTAGAGACTTGGGAGCCAGTTGGGTGGAGCATTCGTTGGATGAGGGTGCTCGGGTTAGGAATATCAAGGTGTGGCTCCAGATAATCCAATCATCTAATTAAGATTCCAGTTATGCTCATCTGTTTTAAAATTCCGTTTGGGTAAATTCTTTTAGTCAGACTGAGGATGGCAAAGCCTCAACCCCAATTTCCAGGGAGGGTGGAGAGCCCCAGGTGGAGTTGATCACCAATAGCCTATGGTTTAACCCATCATGCCTATAGAATGAGGTCTCCATCAAAACCCAAAAGGACTGGGTTCAGAGAGCTTCTGGATAACACTTCCTGGAAGGTAGTGCGCCCCTCCCCACGTGCCGGGCCCCACATTTATTTCTGAACTTTGTGCAATGTCCGCTAAAATACAACGGCAGATGTAAGTGTTTCCCTGCGTGCTGTGAGCTCTTCCAGCAAATGAATGCAACTAAATCTGGGAGTGGTGGCAACCTGATTTATAGCCAGTGGCTGAGAAGCACAGGTAAAGCAACGTAGGGCTTCCCATTGTTATTAGTGTGGGAGGCCTGTCTGGCGGGACTCGGCCCTTTGGAATCTAATGCTATGTCCCGGTAGATAGCGTCACCATTGAATTAGAAGACACACATATGTGGAGAATAATCATTCTGGTCATTTGCTGCATGTCTTATTGACAATATGTAATCACATCCTTTATCCCGACCTTATGGCACCTGGGTTGAGAACCATGATTTGAACCAGACGTTGGTCTGTCACTTTCTCAGTTTGAAACTTTATTTTGCCTTTAGCGTTTTGCTGTTGCTTTTTCGTTGTCTTTTGTTTCGTTTCGTTCCTAAGTTCTGGGGTATATGTGCAGGATGTGCAGATTTGTTACTAAGGTTAACGTGTGCCATGGTGGTTTGCTGCACCTGTCAACCCATCACCTAGGTATTAGGCCCAGCATGCAGTAGCTGTTTTTCTTAACGCTCTGTCTCCCGGAAGGCCCCAGTGTGTGTTGTTCCCCTTCCTGTGTCCATGGGATCTCATTTTTCAGCTCCCATTATAAGTGAGTTGTGGCGTTTGGTTTTCTTTTCCCTGGATAAGTTTGCTGAGGGTAATGACCACACATCACCACTGTTTTTGCTTTTTAGTATAAAGAGTAGTATTTTATTGAATAAGATTTGCTCACAGAAAAATAAGCTTACATCTACAATGAATGCCAGACCCTACAGCAGAAAGCCATTTTCTCACTTTTCCACACACAATGGTTCCTACTAAGTGAAAAAAAAGCCATAAAATTTCATTCACAAATGTACTACTCTGTCTCAAAACATCGCACATAATCATGCACTGTACTAAAGCCATTAGATCAGTTCTTCAGTCAGGTTAAAGAAGTATCCCTCTAATAACTGACTTTCATAATGCTATCAATATCCACTCCCAATCAGTCTGCCATTGTTAATGGTGTACAGCATTACTGAATACAATGGAATTGATGACGCCCATATCCACGGACAAACCGTGACTTATGATGGTTTGATTTACGATTTTTCAACGTTATGATGGGTTTACTGGAATATTAGATGCGTTTCTGAGTTACACTGGGTTTATGAGTATGCGACCCTATACTCCAGAAACAGCTGTATAAGGAAAAACAGGTTTACCTAATGAAAATATGCTTAGTGACTTGGGATAAACCAATAGATGTTCACAACTGATGGAGAGCCGTGAAAGAGAGATAACGGTAAATAGTTACAATAACACAATTTTCCTGCACCTGTCGAGGATTTCCCCAAAAAAACGCAGAATGTGGGATGCACCTAAGGCATAGGAAAGAGAGAGGGCAGAAGGAGTAAGAGAGAAATAGGAGGAAGGAGGGAAGGAAAGAAGGAAGTCAGGAAGGAAGGAAGGAAGGAAGGAAGGAAGGAAGGAAGGAAGGAAGGAAAGAAGGACGTAAGGAAGGAGAAAACACCGGTGTTACTAAAAGCCCCCAAAAAAATGGTTTCCCCCTGTGGGTAAGCCTACAATGTGGACGAATCTTGAAAATATTGTGCTACGTGTTATGTCAGTCATAACAGCTCACCTATTGTGCAATTCCGCTTATAGGAAATGTCCACAATATGATAATCTATGCATATGGGATTGATCGCACTAGGTAGTTGCTACCTAGGGCTGAGGGTCAGGGAGAGGGTTTGAGACAGAATGAGGAGTGACTAATGTCTACAGGGTTTTTCTCTGGCCGGGAGTGATAAGACGTTCTACAATGAATTGCGAATTAAATTCGAATGTGCACAACCACAGGTATACTAAAAGCCACTCAATTCATGACTTTTAATGGGGGAATCTTATGTGGCGCACTCTCATGGAGACCACGGCAGACATAGTGAGAGAGAAAAAGGTGAGTAAATATCTGAAACGGAGGCAGTAACAGAGAGAATGAAAAGCCCTGTGAATGGAAGGGAGAGCGAAAAGGGAAAATGGTCCTATTTACAAATGACAGATGTGAAATTGGGGTTCACATCAACAGTGTCACTGCCAGGAAGGAGGGTCACGCTAGACATGTCACCGGTAGTTTGGCCCGCAGGGACGCCGACCTGCTGGAGCGTCGTGCCAGCATGGGCTGTGGCAGCCACGTGGGCCAGCAGGGGGTTCCCGCTGCGCAGCTGTGGGGTGAGGATAGACTGGGTGGTGATATCGGCCATTACAGGGGCCTCTTCTGCTGGCAAGAGTGTGACAGTAGCAAGTAGATGGACAGGCCTGCGTGTGAGGACGGAATGCAGGAGGGGCTCTTGTGCGGCTGGGTGTGGGGCCCTCCCGGGAACCGTGGAGAAATGGCCAGGTAACTGCGTCATGTGGGCTAGTAGATTGGCCAGGGCTTCGAACTGAAGGACAATAACAGGGTGTAGCTGTCAGGCCCTGGGAGTGCCTGAGTGTAAGTGGAGATGGGTTTGGGGTCACTGAGGGATGCGTGGGAGCCATCACTGTATAGGTACAGGTCATAGGGAGATAGTCTGGTGAGGCCTGTGAGTGTCTAGGGTTGTCCTGGGTGCCTGTTGCTGACTGTGGCAGAAATCTGGGGAAGGCTGGAGAGAAGCTGGGAGACCCAGGAGAGTCCCTGAAGGCAGGGGGTGAAGAGGTGAAAGAAATGGGGGATGGTTGCAGTAAGGTCCGTGAGTTTGCAGGTGATTCCAGGGTGTGGGAAGCTGACTCCAGGTGAAATCTGGAGATGGTTGGAGAGTAGCTGAGAGAGACAGAAGAGTCCCTGAGGGCTGGGGGTGAGAACATGAGGGAGACAGGGGAGTAAGTCAGTGAAATTCGTGAGTTCGGTGGTGTATCGTGGGTGCCTGGAACTGACTCCAGCTGGAATCTAGAGAAGTTTTGAGAGTAGCTGAAAGAGACACAAGAGTCCCTGTGGGATGAGGGCAAAGACCTGAGAGAGACCAGGGAGGAGCTCAGTGAAGTCTGTGAGTCTGTATCTGATTCCGGAGTGTGGGAGGCTGACTCCCGCTGAAATCTGGGCGTGGTGGGAGAGTAGCTGGGACAGACAGGAGAGTCCCAGGGGTCTGGGGGTGAAGACATGAGAGAGACTGGGGAGTAACTCAGTGAAATGCTGAGTTTGGTGGTGATACATGGGTGCCTGGAACTGACTCCCGCTGAAATCTGGGCATGGTTGGAGAGTAGCTGGGACGCACAGGAGAGTCCCTGAGGGCTGGGGGTGAAGACATGAGAGAGACCGGGGTGTAACTGAGTGAAACTGGTGAGTTTGGTGGTGACTCCGGGGTGCCTGGAACTGACTCCAGCTGAAATGTGGGCGTGGTTGGAGAGTAGCTGGGACAGACAGGAGAGTCCCTGAGGGCTGGTGAAGACACGAGAGAGACTGGGGAGTAATTCAGTGAAATTTGTGAGTTTGGTGGTGATTCCTGGGTGCCTGGAACTGACGCCCGCTGAAGTGTGGGCGTGGTTGGAGAGTAGCTGGGACACACAGGAGAGTCCCTGAGGGTTGGAGATAAAGACGTGCTAGAGACTGAGGAGTAACTGAGTGAAATTGGTGAGTTTGGTGGTGATTCCGGGGTGCCTGGAACTGACTCCCGCTGAAGTGTGGGCGTGGTTGGAGAGTAGCTGGGACAGACGGGAGAGTCCCTGAGGGATGGTGAAGACATGAGAGAGACTGGGGAGTAACGCAGTGAAATTGGTGAGTTTGGTGGTGACTTCTGGGTGCCTGCAATGGACTCCCGCTGAAGTGTGGGCGTGTTTGGAGAGTAGCTGGGACAGACAGGCGAGTCCCTGAGGGTTGGAGATAAAGACGTGCTAGAGACTGGGGAGTAACTCAGTGAAAGCGGTGGGCTTGGTGGTGATCCCTGGGTTCCTGGAACTGACCCGCGCTGAAATGTGGGCGTGGTTGGAGAGTAGCTGGGACAGACTGGAGGGTCCGTAAGGGCTGGGGGTGAAGACGTGAGAGAGACTGGCGAGGATCTCACTGAGGTCTGTGAGTTTGTAGGTGTTTCTGGGGTGTGGGGTACAGACTCCCGCTGAAATCTGGGCGTAGTTGGAGAGTAGCTGGGACAGACAGGAGAGTCATGGGTGGCTGGGGGTGAGCTGCTGGATGATGGCAGTAAGAACATATGGTATATTATTGATGAATGAGGTGACTGTGAAGAATCTCCAGAGGAGGTCACGGGAGAACACAATGACATGAGTGACTGTCCTGCTTGGTTAGGAAAGGGAAACGTAAAGTTGTGGAATTC
>NT_167211.2:0-1507 GCF_000001405.40 Homo sapiens
CAATTCAATTCTATTCCATTCCATTCCATTCCATTCCACTCGTGTTGATTCATTTCCATTCTATTCAATTCCATTCCATTCCACTCGGGTAGATTCAGTACCATTCTATTCCATTCCATTCGCGTTGATTCCATTCCTTTCCATTCCGTTCCATTCCTTTCCATTCCGTTCAATTCCATTGCACTCGTATTGATTCAATTCCATTGTATTCCACTCCATTCCATTCCATTTGATTCGATTCCATTCCATTCCATTCCATTCCTTACTAGTTTTTTCAATTCCCTACTTTTCCTTTCCATTCCATTCCATTCTATTCCACTCGTGTTGATTCCATTCCATTCGATTCCATTCCTTTGCATTCCATTCCACTTGTGTTGTTTCCATTCCATTCCATTCGATTCAATTCAATTCCATTCAATGCCATTCGATTCCATTCCATTCCATTCCATTTCACTAGGGTTGATTCAATTCCATTCTTTTGCATTGCATTCCATTCCATTGTATTCCCTTGCATTCCATTCCATTCCAATCCACTCGTGTTGATTCCATGGAATACCGTTGCATTCCATTCTTTTCCACTCCCGTTGATTCCATTCCATTCCATTTCACTCCTAAATGTTGATTCCATTCCATTCCATTCCATTCCATTGCATTCCACTTGGGTAGATTCATTTCCATCCTATTCCATCCCATTCAATTCCATTCCATTCCATTCCATTCCATTCCATTCCATTCCATTCCATTCCATTCCACTCGGGTTGATTCCATTCCATTCCATTCCTTTCCATTCCAATCCATTCCATTCCAGTCCATTCCATTCAATTCCATTCAATTCCCCTCGGGTTGATTCAATTCCATTCTATTCCATTGAATTCCATTCCCTGCAATTTCATTCCATTCCATTCCACTCGGGTTGATTCAATTCCTTTCTATTCCATTCCATTGCATTCCATTCCATTCTATTCTGTTCCATTCCATTCCATTACATTCCACTCATGTTGATTCCATGGAATTCCATTCCATTCCATTCCATTCCATTCCACTCGGGTTGATTCAATTCCATTCCATTCCATTCCATTCCATTCCACTCTGGTAGTTTCTGTTCCATTCCATTCCATTCCAATCCATTCCATTCCATTCGATTCCACACAGGCTGATTCAATTCCATTGTACTCTATTCCATTCCATTCCATTCCACTCCATTCCATTCGATTCCATTCTGTTCCATTCCACTCGTGTTGATTCCATGCCATTCCATTCCATTCCATTCCTTTCCACTCGACTTGATTTCATTCCATTCCATTCCATTCCATTCCATGTCATTCCATTCCATTCCATTCCACTCGACTTGATTCCATTCCATTCCATTCCATTCCATGTCATTCCATTCCATTCGACTTGATTCCATTCCATTCCATTCCATTCCATTCCAATAAGGTTCATTCCATTCCATTCCATTCCAATTCATTCCATTCCATTCAATGTCATTCCATTCCATTCCATTCCA